>NC_000006.12:93360464-93511402 GCF_000001405.40 Homo sapiens
TGATGACATTGTGTGTATGTTTACTGTTTTACAGGGCAAGGAGGTTATGGGGGGACAATGGCAACACGATTTAACATTTCCAAAATGATGTTTACTAGTGGAATTCCTCAGAATTCTCATTCTCCCATTGCAAATAAAAGCCTCTAAATAAAGGCTAATTCCCCTTTTTCCACAAATGAGGTGCATTCCTTGCTCAACTTACATGATTTCAAGAATCTATATGATACTAATGCAGAGAAATTTCAAACTCTTATCACTTAACTTTCAAATTACGTTGAATTTTGTTACCCTTTTAACAGATGGGAAAACAGATTTAAAGCAAAAGTAACCTGAGTTCTTCCAATAATTCTGTTTGTCTAGGATAAAACTGGATTTAAAACACAGGACTACTGACACTCAGCCTTATGCTATTCTACCATCATCATTTACTGTTAAAAGAGCCAAAGTTTGACACTTACGTAATGGGACTCAAGGGCTTTAGCTACCCTAAAACTTAATTTTCAATGGATCCTTATTATTTTTATTATACATTTTTACTAATTGAAAGCTATTACTTTAACTTAGAAAGCTATGAAATAATATCCCAACATACCTTAAGAAGAGATATTAAACAGATATTGTCAATTTCACTATGAATTTTGACACTGATGATACCTGCACAATTATGGAATATATGTATGACTATCATTAAATAGATAAAGGCAATACCGGAAAAATGTGATCATAAAAGTCTTAACATTTTTTCTTTGAAGTAATATTCTGTCTCAGTTCAGTTAATATTGAAAATAATAAGTTGAAGCAAGCCAGTTTTCATTTGATCTCAAAGGAAACTACCAATTTAGAGTTATTAAAAGTAAGTACAAAAGCGCTGGAGCAATGGTGTTGAGAGTAAAGCCAAGAACATGCAAAAAAAACAAAAGCAGTACCTCTTATAATAACAGTGATCTACTGGGTGGAAAAAGCTTGGGAAAGCAGTAACAGATGCTCTTAACATTAGAAATTGTGATAAGATATCTACACGAAATACTTAGAGTTAAATACTCAATGAGATAAAGCAGGGTAAAGTGGCATATCTGAGAGATACATACATACAGGAAAGTTAGACGAGCTCACCAACTACTCCCAGAAAAGCTACTTGGAAATCCAGGCAATTTCTCCTCTCTCTAAATGCAGCTGGTTTTCTGGAAACTACTAGTAAAAAGTCTTCAGAGGTAAATGCCTTCTGAAACCTTAAATTCCCTTCATACATAATTATGTAGTATACAACAACATTCTAGGAATTGTGCAACAGCAGTTTTACAAATTTTTCCTCTGCTTTATTTCTCAATCTGTTCAATAGCACATGAATTCAAAGCAAACTTTAATTGATATAGCATGTGCCCTTTGATATAGTATGTACCCTATGGATAAAGTTAGTGACATTACAAAATATAGCATTGTAACTTTGTGTCTTTTGATGTTTTTGCTTTTCTAACTGAACATTCACTATATTGATAAAAATTAGGGATATGTATAAAAATTGTTTTAAATATTTAATTACTTTTGTAAAAATAATATTTCACCTCTTATTTTAATAACAGTATTTTTACATGATACCATGAAGGCCTAGGATTGATTCTTTTGACTGTTCTTTTAGTCCTTAGGGCCTTAATGAATAAAATAAGCTCATTATCCTAGAGTTAAAACCTGTAATCTTGTCAGATTTCATATGTTAAGCAAGTTTTTGCTTAGTCTGTTCTTTAAATGCAAAACCACCAAAGAAAAAGGAAATCTAGGAGATACATGAAACTTCTATATACCAGAGTAATAGTATTATTTACTGCAATATATCTACTAAATTATATTACAACACATTAAGTCATAAGATCTGCTATATTACTGTTATGAAATAAATGTAGTTTATTGTATTTAATCTCAACTATTTAAATATTGTCCCACAAAGTTGATTTAAATAATATTTTTAATTTAAAATTTTTAACAAAGAACATGAAAGGCAATCAGGTTTCCCATTTATAAATTATTTAAGAATAAAAAAGCACCAAAATTCTGAAATCAAATTATTTAAATATACAAGAGAGTTGATACCAAAACCTTCTATGCTGATTCTCCATTAAATTCTCCTAACAATCACATAATCCATAGTTGTCTTCAATAGATGTTTTGTTTAAGCAATGGGATGCCAGGCCACTGAGACTATACTTGCATTATGCAGTCAGTGGACCAATCAGGGTACTGGTATAACAACTGTAAATGAACAATCCTAAAGGCCACCCAAAAGCCATACATTCCCATGCCTCTTTAACTTAAGCAATTAAGTAGAAATGGAATGTATCTTCTTCCTGAATGAGGGCACAGATACCCATACTTGGTCCAGTTTTTTAGGTTTATGACCTATAATTGCATGCTTGGGAGAAATCTTACCTGATTATATTTCTAAGGATCCCCCTTCCGACAATCTTGTTGCTAGAAAATCCACCTACTTCTAGAGTTCTTTTACAGCCAAAAAAAGATTTCCTGATCCTTAATGGACTGATTTTTTGGAACTCTTAAGCACCAACTTTTATCTCAGACATACTTCACACCATCCTGAACATTAAGGCACTGATAATCCATATCTTGCTTGGCTATCCTCCATGGCTGAACATTAGGAAGGCTTTGATAGGACACTAATGTCTTGACTCTATCCAAATAATTAAATCATTATTAGGGCCTAGACATTTCTATATTTTAAAAAAATTGTATAGGTGTTCAGAACCAACATCCTGGAGGTTCCAGGTATTTTCTTGGACTATCAAAGTCTCTAAAGAATACATGATAATAAAATATCTCCCCTATAACACTGAGGAGGTAAAATTAGATATTATCAATAATTTTTAAAAAGTGCAAAAATTAAAATCCATCAATAAGCCAATCAAAAATATGCAAGGAATCTGAATTGATGTTTCTCCATGAAAGCTTTACAAATGAGTAATAAACACATAAAAAATGATGTGCCAAAGGCTACTGAGCACTTAAAAAGATGTTCAACATCATTAGCCATTAGGAAAATGCAGATCAAAACCACACATCTACTAGGATGGCTATAACCAAAAAGATAACAAGTGTTGGTGAAAATATGGAGGAATTAGAACTCTCCTACACTGCTTGTGGGAATGTAAAATGGTGCAGCCACTTTCAAAAAGACTACCAGTTCCTCAAAAGAATAAACATTGTTACTACATGACCCAAGTAGTATATTCTACTCCTAGGTATATACTCAAGATAAATGAAAACATACATGCACACAAAAACCTGTACATTAATGTTCATAGTGGAATTATTTGTAATAGCCAAAAAGTGGAAACAACCTAATGTCCATCAACTACTGAATGAATTAGAACAATGGAATATAATCCACCAATTAAAAGGAGTTAAATACAGACACATAAAACAACATGGATGAATCTTTAAAACATGCTACATAAGAGAATCCAATCATAAAAGACTACATATTGTACGATTCAATTTACATAAAATATCCTAAATAGGCAAATCTATAGATGTAGAAAATAGATTACCAGTTTTCAGGGGATGGGGTAGTAAGCAAAAATGGCATTTGACTGTTGATAGATATAAGGCTTATATTTGGGGTAATTACAATGTTCTAAAAATGATTTGCGGTGACAGTTGTACAACTCTGTGACTATAACAAAAATCCATATATTGTACACTTTAATGGGGGAATTGTATGATATGTGAATTATATCTTAATAAAGCTCTCATTATAAAATCCATCAGGGCCGGGCACGGTGGCTCATGCCTGTAATCCCAGCACTTTGGGAGGCCAAGGCAGGTAGATCACCTGAGGTCAGGAGTTTGAGACCACCCTGGCCAACATGACGAAATCCTGTCTCTACTAAAAATACAAACATTAGCCAGGCGTGGTGGCAGGCACCTGTAACCCCAGCTACTCGGAAGGCTGAAGCAGGAGAATCACTTGAACCCGGGAGGTGAAGGCTGCAGTGAGCCGAGATGGTGCCACTGCACTCCATCCAGCGTGGGGCTTAGGCGACAGGAGCGAAACTCCGTCTCAAAAAAAAAAAAAAAAAAAATTCATCAGTAATGTACCTTCAAATCTGAACACTTAAACAGGCAAACATTAAGAAAAAATAGTAAATTTTATTTGCTTATATTAGTTTATTTTTCTAACATATATACTCTATATGCATCAAATTTTATAAAGTTGCATTTAGGTAAAAGAAATTACCTATGTACAACTACTGTGTACTCACAAAAATTAAAAACTAAAAAAAGAAATTACCTATGGATTACTTTTAAGACTATTAGAAATCTATTATCAAGGTATTGTTTTAACCTATTTGTTAATTTAGTATGTATTTTTGGAGTTTCATAAATAATAGCTTATCTTTTATCTGAGGAGTAATAATTTTATCACTTAAAAAACAGTCTTACCAAAACCAAGCTTATATTTAGAGGAGATTTTTGATACATTTTATAGAAATATTTGTGATTGAATTTCTGAATAGATATTAAACATTTTTATTTTTCATCCACATTACTTTGCCAGATGAGGTCTGGTTTCCTTCTCCCATCTCTCCACTTCTCTCCCTTGAGCTAAAGGAATACAACTTGACTCAGCTTCCTCAGGTCTTACCCCATTTCCAGACCTGTGATTTTAAGCACAACTGAACATTTTCTGAAGGAATTATGTATGTCTGTGTGTAAAATATAAGGCTTTGCAGATGTTGCTGGCCACAGTTATGCAGCTGTAAAGAGTTTATTAATTATGAACTGTAAGTAGATTGTTCTGTAATTGAAACTTTCTGGGCTTTAACATTGTTGTAAAATCTACATACAAACGTAGTTAAGAATTCTAATGAATGCTGTTATTTTATTTATTGCAGATGAATATTCATCTTAATTCAGGCAAAGCCAGTCTGTTTCCATAGGAGCTTTCAAATATTTGTGTCATATTAATATCTATGTTTCTATAAGGCAAAGGGGAAAGCACAGCTTATAGAAATAGTACTCCCACTGCTCAAAGAACTGACCTCATCTGGGATGGACAGATCCAGAATCTGTGTTTTAATCCTATTGACTATGCCTCAGTGGGAATAATTACAAAAGTCTGCCTAAAATACAGACCTCCTGTCACTAATATTCTATGATTTTTCACGTTGAGAATGAACAGCGAGCAGGGAGGATAAAAACAACATGATGTAATGAGTACATTATGGTTTGTGGAACAACATCCCTATCACCCTGGAACTAACATGCAAGAGTTTAGAAAAGACAGCATGCAGAATATAAAGTTTTTCATAACAGGTACTTAAGTGCTCGATGATAACATGGGGATTTTTAAAACTAACAAGAAAAACTCATTTCAAGGCATTTTACGTGTGTGTTTGTTATTAATTTGTGTTATTTAATTATTTGATGTTTTATTAATAACATATAGTGGAAAAGAAAAACATGTAAAATAAGAAGCTTTAAAAAGTTTCGTTTCTAAAGTTTAGAATGTAAAATGAAATAAAACAAAGCATTATGTGAACACATCTTTACTTAAATTTTCAGCTTAGAATATGTTAAGAATCTGGTTGAGGTCTGGAGTTATGACTCTTTATTTCATCAAATGATCACTATAATTCTGATGTCATTATCCAAATGATAAAAAAGAAAAAAAAAGTCAAGTTAGAATATTCTAGTATTATTTTTGTCTTGTTATGTATTCTACTTTATAAATACGAGCCTGTGTTGAAGAGGTAATATGATACAGTGAAAGAGATTCAGATTTTAATTCAAAGGATCTATGTTCAAATACACTCCACCATTTACTAGCATACAATTGGGGCAAAGCCACTTCACATTAGGCTTCTACTTCCTTATTTCCTTGTTAACTCTAACGTGCTACAGACATAGTAGTTTTTATTTATATTTCTATCTGCAAATGATTGTTTATAACAAGAACACAGTAATGAAATGTCTAGCTGCTAAACTACCTTCCAATTGTTTTAATTGAAATGCTGTCTTTAAAAAATGCATGTTTCTACCATCATCAGCCTAACCGCCCCTACAAATATACCATATAGAAACATACAGTACACCCACTTAGTCTTTCAGAGATGCCTTAGCAAGCAACAGTGTTAAAAAACAGGTTCTACAGGGGCTGTCCTGCATCCACACGGCACCCCTGATGGTGTCTGATTCTTGTCAGAGATCCGTCTGCCAACCGGTTTACCTCTCGCTTTCACCGTGCCATTGTTGCTGAACCTTGTCTGTGTTTCCGAAGATGTGCACATTCATTTTGGTTCATGCAGGTAAGTATCCAGAAATAGAATTTTTAAGTCATGTAAATTATTAAAAAGAATCAACTTGTGCAAAAAAGGAAAGATTCAAAATGAAATGCAAACCCTTCTGGATGTCACTCAATAATGTCCTCATAGGTTTACTCTGAGAGTTCACCCCATAGATTAAAAAAAATGAACTATGAAATCTCAGGATCTAGTAGCTGGACAGGAAAAGCAGTAAAATAAAGTACTTTTAGTTCTAATTCAAGTCTGTGACAAAACAGTATTATTCTGGGGTTCCCATGGACTAAAAATACTTAAATTAGAGGAAGTTAGCTTAATAAACTCAAACATTAAATTATTTATTTGTAGGAACTTAAAAGTCTGGCTTATTTGTGACACAGCACCATTTTATTCTACTAAAAATCTTCTTTGAGGACATGTCTTTATGAACAAGAGGCAACAATTAGGAGAGTTCTTACCCCACAATTAGTGTTTGGAAGATTTCAGACAGGAGGCACAATTTTCAATAGCATTTATGCCACTGCCAAGTTTATTTTCAAATTGTTCTCATATTTACTAAAGTATCATAAATTTTGCACATCAGTTTTATTATACATTCTCATTATGAAAACCTACTGAGAAAGGTCAGAGAGTGTAGGCTCTATGTTAAAAAATATGAGTGATAATTCCCCTTTTTAAGTAACATTACATTTGCTGTTACATAATTTTAACACATTTTTCAAAAGATAAAATTCATATTTTGAATGATAGACATTGTCAGTCTCACTATATAAGGTCTCACTTCAATGATCCTAAAGAGGTAGGATGGCTTGTTCTTTATATCAATTATAAGACTGTTAGAACACACACACACACAAATTATAAGACTGGCTGCTCTCCTAGTACGTATTCACTGTGTGGTCTTTACAAATTTGCTCAAGTTCTGAGTCCAGTTTTCCCATATATAAAATAGAGAAAATAATAATAAGACTATCTTATAAGATTGTTATGAATTACAGTGCATAGTTCACGTGAAGAACTTAGTATGCTGCCTGGCATAGACTAAGCACTCAATAATTAGTTAAGTACTGTGACTATTTTACAATGTCAATTTCCAAGCAAAGTTTTGATCCCACTGTAGTTTCTACCCCAGACAACCTCTGAACCACTTTCCCTATTCCCAAATGTGTAAGCAAATAAGAAATACAAATTAGTTATTAACCAAATATAGCCCAGTATTCATTCCTCGACCAAATTATTATTATTTGCATACTGTGTATCTATTACTGTGTCAGGCAGGCAATGTACCAAAAAGGTATATCAGCTAAAAAGACAAATAATGAGGATCTCTAAACACTACATTATCCTTTTGACCACTGGCTTCAAATGGTATGGATAATCAGTTGATTATGAGCTTAAGCTAATTAAATTTCTGATATTTAATAGTAAATTACTTATATAAATTATAAACATTGTACCTTAACTTGTATCTTTTACAGCATGCCCAATTATCTCCTATTTCAGAGGTGACTATAAATTCTGAAGTCACCTTTCCTGCCAAAGCTGTAGCATTTCATCAATGTGAAATGAGAAAACTACTCAGCACAGGTAGACATGCAGGAAGTGTGCAGGGACACATTATTGACCAATTTTATATATAAACTGGAGAGCTATCTGTGGCAGTTATTGGCTTGATTTTCAATGAGGCTAATGAAGGATCTGGCAATATAAGAATATTCTATAAGGTCAGGTTACTTCAAGTTAATAAAAATTGCAACTTTAGTCCAATTCGAAGGATTAAAATTGGACTATCTTGTGAGTGGCTTGTCAATAATTAATTTTTCTCCCATAATATATTTAAATCTATATATTTGTGGTGCAAGCCTTGAAAAATCCACAGCTAAAAAGAAGATAATTAATTTCATCTTAATTTCCTAAAATAAAGAGCTATACTTCTATGCAAAGCAGTCCAAGACATGGGCTTTTCACTATCAGTTTTCTGCGATAATTTTAAAAATGATTAAAGCAAAATTGTCAGTTAAAGCAATCGTTCTAGCTGTTTGGTGAAGACTCTGTTTCCTTATTTAGTCAGTTATAAAATGTGGATCAATACTAAGTCTTGTGAAGCAAATAACCCTAAAGCAGGTTAAGGCAGTTTGAACATGTGGGGAGGTAAATAATCATTTCTGTTATGTCAGTGGAAAATTTTCTGGAGATCATAAAGAAATCAGTTTACCCTGAAGCATGACATATTAAATGGATGCGTCAGGACAATGAGTGTATTCACTCAATCCTTAATTCTTAGAAATAAAAGAAAATAACAAGCAGAATAAATGCTTAGAAAAATGTTGTTGAGCTCAATCCTTTCTTTTTTAAAAAAAAGAGCTGGCAAAGAAAAAGAAAGAAAAGAAAAGAAAAATAAAGGCCACACACACACACACACACACACACACACACACACACTTGCAAGATACATAGAATTTTTAGAAATAAACTAGTAAGAATTCTGACTGTATTTTCATACTTTCTACTCCTTCATAAGAGAAAACCAGTTAATTAATTGCTGATTTTTACCTCCACACCCAAATAAATAATTTGCCACATCTCTTTGTATCCATTATCCTACTAACTTTGCATCCATAGAATTTTGCAAAAAGACAACGTAGCCAGTAGCAGAATATCATTTAATTGTCTGTTAAAACAAACTCTGCAGAAAAAGTAGCTACATATGTAAAGAATAACCCTATATAGTTTCATTCTTTTTAAAAGAGCAACATCCATTCTTCATGAATCAGTTAAACGCTTTGCCTCCTCCATCTTTTCTGAGCTCTTAAGGCTACTTAGGAGAACAGTTTCACTCAATACAACATACCACCACTATGTCATTCACACTGCCATAATTATTTCTTTATGCATGTGTCCTCTAACTCACCGTGAAACCCTCAAGTTCAGGGATTATAATATATGTATCCATGGATTCCCAAAGCCTAGCACAATGTCCAGCACATAGCAGGAGGTTAATCTATGTTTATTGAATGGACGAATGAAGGAATCTTATCCATCCTCCAGCATTATGCATCTGGTGACACCATCCCACTTACCAAAGGTTAATTCACTGACACCACTTAGTAAATTTTTCATAGTCATCAGAGCAATAGGACTGATGTGGCACATTCTTAGTAGAGGGGAGTGCAGCCTTGGCTACAGAAGTAAGGAGAGACACTTCACTGGCTTTCAGTCTTTAAGTCTCCCTGTTATGCTGCACAGGGAGACAACTGCACAGCCATGTTTAGACTAATACTTTAGATGATTTTAACATGATTCTGTAAGCATCCTTAATACAGTAACAACAAAAAGTATACGAATGAAATTAAAAGCATTTTAGGAGCATATAATTGAATACCTTCTCTGAACACAGGGGAGAAAAGGTCCAAGAGAAGGAAAACAACTAAGCTGAGAATTATAAGTTATAACAAAACTATCATTTCAGGGTTGTTTCCAAGGCAAAAATTTAAAGAATAATAGTTTTTTCCTGCTCTGGATTATTTAAGAAACTATCTCTCTTTAAATACATGACCTACCCAAACCCAAAAAAGTAATATTCTAGTTTTAGATTACTGAGAATTGCCATACAGTAAGTACACAATACTTTCATTTCTGTTGGTAATTTGGAACTAGACAGGCCACTATTAAAATAAATTCTAATAATTAACATTTCTATTGGAAAACAGAAATATCACTGATTCTTATGAAAAATAATTTCAATTTATTTCTTACTGGCTCTCTTTTAAATATTTAAACAATTGTAGAGTAAGCAAAAACACTGATTTAAAAACAATGGGATATTACATCTTTTGTTTTCTTTTATTATGAGCATAAATACACATATATATTCACACACCCTTCTGTACATTTGGTTTCCTATTACATTTCATATGTCTCTAAGACATACTAATTCATTTGATTTATGACCTATGGAGGGGCACGACAAAACTAAAGGTGAAAACTTATTTATATGTACATATACTACTTTACATTTTTCAAGTTATAAACTAGGCAAAACTGTAAAGTACCTTAATATTCAGAGTGAACTCAGAAAAAGCACAGTCGGCAAGGCGCGGTGGCTCACGCCTGTAATCCCAGCACTTTGGGAAGCCGAGGCAGGTGGATCACGAGGTCAGGAGATCGAGACCATCCTGGCTAACATGGTGAAACCCTGTCTCTACGAAAAATACAAAAAAAAAAAAAAGAAAAAAAAACTTAGCCAGCCGTGGCGGCGGGAGCCTGTAGTCCCAGCTACTCAGGAGGCTGAGGCAGGAGAATGCTGTGAACCCAGGAGGCGGAGCTTGCAGTGAGCCCAGATCGCGCCACTGCACTCCAGCCTGGGCGACAGAGTGAGACTCTGTCTCAAAAAGAAAAAAAAAAAGAAAAAGCACAGTCAGCTCTCTGTATCCACTGGTTCTGCATCCATGGATTAACCCAACCATGGATAATAAATATTTGGGGAAAAAAATAACAAAAAATAATGCAACAATACAAAAATACAAATTTTAAAAACAACACAATATAACAACTACATGCCTAGAATTTACACTGTATTAGATATTGTAAGTAATCTAGAGATTATTTAAAGTATAGAAAAGGATGTGTATAGTTTATATGCAAATACTATATATGCCATTTTATATAAGGGACTTAAGCATCTGTGGATGCTGGTATCCAAGGGGATCCTGTAACTCACCCCCCTTGATACTGAGAGGCAACTGTAATGACAAGCGCTACAAAGTATTAGACTCAACACCTATGTGTGCATATATTTCAATCTGAAAGAATTTAGAAATTTAGAAGTGAAGTACTGTTTTCTCATAGGAAATGATGATAAAGTAAATGTATACATTTCCAAATAAAAATGCATTGAAAGTTCTTACAAAGGAAATGAAAAACTAGAATATAATGATTGATTCTACCTCTATATTAATGGTGCTATAAACGAATATGTATAGAGAGCTGATGGTACATTACATCTTCCTAATTAATTAGTATACATCATCCCAAAACCTGACTAAAGATTTGAAAATGTCAATTTATACTAACCAGAACACCAGAAATAAGGAAGGGAAAAAATCAGTTCAAAGATTGCACCCAAATGAAGTGGTTAAGAACATACAGGATAAAAGCAGATGACAGATTGTGAAGACATACTGTCACAGATGGATACCAGGTGGAATGGATCAGACAATATTTTTAGAATCAATTTTTTTTCAACATTTAAGTTAAATTACCCTTTTGGGTAAATGTTCAAAAGACTGATAAGAAAACTAGTTTTACATGCATCTAAATAAACAGAATATCTAAAAGCTAAGGGGTGAATGATTTATCTTTATATTACTTAGGAATAATCAAGCATTGTATAAGAACTTATTAAATAAACATTTGTGAGTGGATGAACACCAATGATAAAGGAGGTATCTGATGCTTGAACATTTCCTTTATGCTTTCATTTCATTTCACCATAATGAGCATACTACCTATGGCACAGCAAAACAAAGGGTAATACTTGCCAAATATCAGCAATTACAGAAAGGGGAGTTACAACCTTATAAGAGTATGACTATTCCTTTTGCCATTTTTCAACATGATTATTTTGCAGTTTAAGTTAGCAGCTGTTTAAATAAGAGGCTAGAAAGTGAATCTTCTCATGCTACAGATGTTAAAAGATAATGTCTAGACATAGAATCAATAAGGTTTTAAGGTTTTTGATTTTCCCAGACTGAAATCCTACTCTTATCATATATTAGTGTTGAATGCTATAAAATATTTCACAAAGTTAGAATTTAGAGAAAACAATTTTTAGCAAGATAAGATGCATTGCTTTTTGATTGTTATTTCCATTACATCTTTGCTTTATAAATTTTCCTTCTAAGTTATGGCCTCAAATGGCATAGGTTGTCCAAACTTTTAAATAGTTTTCTGTTTGTTGATGAAATGTGTTGAGTGACTAACTCAAAAGCATTGTGCTTGCAGCTATAACAGCCTAAGTGCTATTCAATATGGTTAAACATTCCACTTTTCACATGAAAAATATAATAGTTAAGTTTATACATTGGCTTTGCCTTAATATCTATATCATGATTTCATTAATTTTTTAGTAAATTACTTCTTCCACTACCTTTTTAAACAAAATTATACTAAAAGGAGATGGAGAATTCTGAAAATGTAGTACTTCCTTCTGAATTATGGTATATACTCTTACAATTTAGAGTGCATATGTCTTCAACAATTGTCAAAATAGTTGTCTGGATTAAAATACATACATTTTCTGTTCAAATATTTAATTGTGATACATGATTATATAACAGAAGATATATTTGTATTTTGACATATAGTCAATAATTATAGTAATATATCTTTGGAATTAACAGCTAGAAACCACTAGTTCTCTTTATATTATATTTAATTTTATTAAAATAATCACAAATTCTACTTTATTGCTTCAATATCAAAAGGGAAAAATTACAAAGTTAACAGACATCTCCAAGAGCAATAATTCTTGACCTTTTCTTAAAATCTAAATGTTCTGTGTAAAGTAATTGTTCAATAACTTGGTCATGTGAAAAAAAGACTTGAGTCAAGAACAGAAGCCCTGACTTATTAGAAATGGTGAATTCCATAAGGCAGGTCAGGGAAACTTGCGTGTAATTTAGTACTTTTACACTGCATTTCTTATATTCAATATCATTTGTGAAAATTGTATGGAATAGGTTCTCACTCTTGCCATTGACTTCTACTCATGATTCTCTGGAATCTGATATTTCATGGTTTTGCCAGTTGTTTACCATATAGGATTATCACACAGTATTATGTGAGACAGTTTAATTAGAGAGCTTAGATGATGGTATCAAGATTAGTAGTATTTTTAGCTCTCATGATTCACCAATATCTCCAAAGCTATTTCTGTAGAATGACAAAGGTTTATGCTCTATTTGTCACTCTTCTTTTTTTTTTCTGGTGTATTCTCTTTCGAATAATCACAAGCTTAACATAAGTGTGCCATTTACTAATGGATTAGTATATTGTTACATGTTTTACAAAAGGTAAAAAAAAAATCACTTCAAAGCTCATTTGACATATACTAGTACATAAAGGAATAAAGGCTTTCACAATATACCTCATGTTTCATAAATACATCAATTAATTTTCAGAGAAATAAAGCATAACACTACATAAATAAAAATGTATAACATGTCAGAAGAATTATTAAGAATGTAACAGAATATTAAATTCCTAACCAACAGAGAGCCTCAAAATAACATGAAGTCGCACTAGAGGTATTTAACCAGAGCTTTTAAAAAAAATATTCAGGTCAAATCTAGAGATAGTTCTATGAAGGAGTACACTATGTAGTGCTAACTCCCTGAAGAGAGTCATTACAGGTATATTTGCTAAATTTCTAAAACACGTCACCTCCTTAGTGAAGCCATATCTGACCTCTGGGTTAGGTAATTGAGTCCCTCATCTGTCTTCCCACTCCTCTATTTTAGCACTACAGACAAGAATAGAGATATGAATTTATATACATAGACAAATACTCTATGTTTCTATCTCTCTATCATCTATCTGTCTCATGCTGAGTACATTATACCCTCACTAAAATCTTGCAAGATCATATTTTTCTAACTAAATGTAGAAGTGTCAAATATATTACCTTTATATTTCACAGTTTAATCATTTTAAGTCTTCCTTTTAAGTGTCATGCCTTACTAGCGAACCTTTGACACTGCCAAATATGTTGTGGTTTTATGTATATTTATAGTCATTGTAATTTTATTTGCCAAAATAGAAGAAACTTGTATCTGTGAATGCATATGGATGGTTAAGAAAATAATTAAACAACAGTGGAGACTAGTCGCTCAGACTGCTGGCTATGGAGCCAAACACCTTGAGTTCAACTCCTGAGTTCAAGTGCTAGAACCATCATTAGATCACCAATAGGAAACTGCCTTGGTTTCCTCATCTGTAATACAGGAATAATAGTGACACTTTCCTAATAGGATCACTATGAGGATTAAATTAAAGAACAATGTAAGAGTGTTTGGCACACAGTAAGTAATTTACACATATCAGTTAATATTATCATCATAATTATTATAACATAGTGAAGAATATCATTTCAAAAAAGATAATATTGCTTCCTCCATAACATACAAAAATTTCTGAATAGTTTTTAACATTTTTGCAATCTGTTTAACTGCCTCATTATATAAACCATGTAACTAAATGTCTGAAAGTTTCAACTTAGAAATTCCTTTAATAATTTCAACAAGTAAGGAAACAATGTATACTGGATCCTTGAAAATAATATCATTAAAAAATATTCATTTGAAAATAAGCCTGTTTTCCTTCTGTTATTGATCTCCATAAACTTACTTTGTTTAGCATGTTATTTTGGTAGAAGTACAACTCTACCCTCCACTCTATAATGGAAGAAAGTATGCCAAACTCATGTTCCAATATGTGTAACTTGAAATGTAAAACCAAACAACAAAAACAACTTAACAAGACTGATAAAAACTCAGAGAGGCCAAGCATGGTGGCTCACACCTGTAATCCCAGCACTTTGGGAGGCCAAGGTGGGCAGATGGCTTGAGCTCAGGAGTTTGAGAAAAGCCCAGGAAACATGGTGAAACTCTCTTTCTAAAAAAAAATAAAAATAAAAAAAATAGTGAGATGGCATGTGCCTGTAGTTCCAGCTACTCGAGAGGCTGATGCAGGAGGATCACTTAGGCCTGGGACACAGAAGTTACAGTGAGCCTAGCAGAGAGACCTTGACTCAAAAAACAAACAAAAAAAAAACTCCAAGATTTGGAAGCCTGAATTAAAAAAAAAAAACAAACTCCTAATAGGCAGCTAGTATAGATAAAAAATTCACTAATCAAAAAAGTAATGAAAAAAGAATAGAGTTCTGTGAAAATATAACTTACATTTGAAGTCAGTTCATGCTTTTTCTTTGCTACCCTAAACAGTGATGTAAGTCTCTATACACAATTTGCTGTTAATCTGCTTCCCACCTAACCTAAGGAATCTGACAATTTTTCTTCTAAAGGCAACTAAGAAAAACAAAAGCTCCCATTTTCCTCATTCATGATCACAAAAGGAAAATATTTTAGAATTTCTTCCATTGTTATTTCTCCTATCCAGTGGGTCCACAGAACATTCATTATAAAAGATTTATGCCATGTGGACATGGCAGAAGATAGTCAGAAGGAGGTGGGGGTTGGTCATCTCATCATTAATGAGTCTGAAAATAATCAAGAGAGGAAGAGAGAGGGCACACTGCTATACTGTCACCAGTAATTATCAGGGGACACATTTTTTTGTGTGGGGTTTCATTTTCTTTTTCTTTTTTTGAGACAGGATCTCACTCTGTCGCCCAGGAGAAGTGCAGTGGTATGATCACTATTCACTGTAGCCTCAATTGCTGAGGCTCAAGTTCTCCCACCTCAGCCTCCTGAGCAGCTGGGACCACAGGCATGAGTCACCACACTGAGCTAATTTTTAACATTATTTTTAGAGACAAGGCCTTGCTATATTGCTCAGGCTGGTCTCAAATTCCTGGTGCCAGGCGACCCACCTGTCTTGGCCTCTCAAAGTGCTGGAATTACAGGCATAAGTCACCACGCCTGGTCCATTTTCATAAACCAATTCAGCACTGAAAGTCTGCCACCAAATAACTGACATGAATTCTTTGAGAACATAACTGATCATCATGATATATGAGAACAGAAGCAGAAGATGCTTCTTCCAACTACTGAAATACATGTAGCTGATTGTCTGGAAAATCGTGTCCTTCCCTTATAAAATAACATTTAATGTCTTCCGTATCAATGTATTTGAACAAAAATAAAGTAGATTGTATGCATAAATGCATACCCTGTAACGGAAGCCCCACATTTGAGGAAATGTAAGAGCTTTTTGACTCCTCAGCCCTGGGCTTCAAGTTAAAGATTTGGGCAGACTCAGGTGCTTTCTCCTTCCATCTCTGAGGAAGACCCTCAAAACATAAATTAATTGTCTTTCTTTTCTTAAGTTCTCATCACCTACTCTATTGCTCGGATGTCTATGTTTCCTGAGACAAGCAGCATTGCATCCCTAGCGTTCCGCATTCCTGGAAGTATCTGAAAGTAATCACCTTGATGCTTTACATTTTACATATAACCACCATGAGGAAATCAAAGATCCATAAAAAATTTACATGATAATTACAAGGCTCCAACACTTTACAAATTTTCTTATCTATGGAATATAATTTCTAACTCTCCAGTGCAATAGTTTTCAAATGAAGGTGATTCTGCCCTGTAGGAAACATTTGCCAATATCTGCAGACACTTTCCATGATCATAACTGGGTGTGGAGGAGGTCTGTTACTGGTATCTAGTTGGTAGACATCAAGCATGCTGCTAAACATCCTATATGCCTTCCATAACAAAGAATGATCCTGTACAAAATGTCAATAGTGCTACTGTTGAGAAATTCTGTTTTAATACAAACAGGTATCAGTTTTACTTCTAGGCTCCAGGTATGTCCTTGTAATAGAGCCCATCCTAACTAAACAAAATAAATAATGGTTATTGCTAGTTTTTTTTTCAAAATATTTAAACAAAAAAAACCATAATTTCATTAGAAAAGTTAGTTTCATCCTTTAAAATATTAGGTTTTCTTCAAAGTTCCCTAGATGATTTGCTTGGAAATTAACTTTGAAATAATTCTGTAAAATAAGAAAAAAGCTTTGAAAAACTAAAAAAAAAAATGTGCTACATAGATTTAAGTTGACAGAACTATTGTTATTTCCACCATCCCTTATCTTATATCAGTGTCCCTATTTCAAATTTCAAAAGGAAAACCAGAAGAAAATCTCCCTCCAAATTTGTCATTCCTTTAACAGCAGAAAACTTAAAAGTTTCTACTTTCTTCTACCTCTCATATCAATGTAATCAATTCCTGTTTGTTATTCTTTTGACCCTCTCATAACAGTAACTCTGTGTCAAATCGTTATCATACTTCACCTCATTCAGGATCCTACATTCCTGATTTGTTTCAGTCATTCGCTAATTCATTCAAGAAATATTCTGGGTACTTCTTATGTTCTTATTATGCTAAGAACTAGACCCCTTGTAGGAAGAAAAACAGACACAGTTCCTGCCCTCATAGACCTCTCAGTTTGTAGAAAGCCAATAATAAATTAAACCATTCTAATAAAGCATTAGGTGTTATGAAAGGAGATCACTGTAGAAACATGGACTCTTTGGTATAACTGAAACCTGCAGAAAATGTAAGAGATATTCAAGAGACTGGAAAGAGACAATTCATAGGCAAATAACTAATAGAGAGGAAAAAGATCATGGCACATCTAAGGCAATGATCATGGTGCCTTGAGGCAATGTCAAAGTGGCTGAAGTGCCAAATACAAGTGGAAGAGAGGCAAAGGTCAGAGCTGAAAAGAGAGACAGGAAAAGGAGGTAAGATGTTGTTTTTTCTAAGAGGAAAAGAAAGCTACTGAAGGGATTTTAAAAGATAGTGTTATGATAAGACTTGCATTTGGAAAGATTACTGTAGCCATGATGGATTAGCAAGAGGCAGAAAACTAACGGGAGGGCTTCGGTGGTAATGCAAGATGACATGTAAGAAGATGACGGCAGACTGAGGCAGTATGCATCAATTAGTTTAGCGGGAACTGGACATCGAGAAAATCTTTGAGAAGGGAAATCAAGAGATGTTTAACATATTCCCTAGTCTCTACTCTTATACTTTTCACTTATCCAGAATACATCAAGCAGATTCCATTTTAAAACACTGGAACTTAAAATGCAATTTGATTTACAATTGCAAGTAGGGTCCTCAAGCATCATATGAGATAGGCAAGACAAGTAAAGTTCCCACATTAGACAGATTACAAAAGTGGAGGCTCAGAGAGATTAAGTAACTTACTATATTTTGAAATATGACTAGGTAGTAAAAATAGGCTTAGAACCCAGTCATTCATTTCTGAATCCATTTCTGTTTCTAGTAAATTATGGTGCTTCAGGATTTAGAATTCTAGATTCTGGATTCTGCTTCTAAACTTCTGTCAAAGTCTTGTGTTATTTGGTGTGTACTGTACAATCTGGTACTTCATTACTGTCAATTACAATTTTCTAATCATTTCATAAATGTATACATTTTATTCACTAGCCATTCCACATAGAAATGGAGATGAAAAACACAAACATATATTGAATATGGCTGAAATGAATAAAATTATAAACAAGTATTTATATTAACATAAGTAATACAAGAAAAAGAAATACGTTAGCATTACTCAAGTAAAAATTATGTTACACATGGGATAGTTGGCACTATGATCAGAACATAAATATGTAATGAACTATAAAAATCAAATTTGCTTTAATACAGACTTACTCTAATTGAAGGTTAATTCTGGTAGGTAGAAAGAAAAATTAAAAATTTGAATTGCCTCTTCCTCCAAAACATAATTTTTCTTTCCATTTAATTAAATTTGACAAATAATTCTATAAAATGCTTTACATTTTCAGCTCTAGATTTGGCTCCAAAAATTATAGTTGGGCATTTTGCTATTATGAAATATGAATATTTGAGTCACAGTTTAATAACTTAACTTTAGAGCATTATAATAACTTTTTTTAGGGAATGTAATTATCAGATACATGAAGATCAATTTAACTTGGGATACGATATGTAACAATAACTTTTTATATTTAAAAAGCTAAAATATGCAAGAATACACTTAGAAAAGTGATTGTTTTGGAAACATAAAATACGTGGAAATAGAATGCCAAAAGGTTTATACGGCCAGTGATTATACAATCAAACCAGGACCCTTTCAAGAGTGAAAAAAGAGCTATTAATAATAGCAGAATGAATGTCACCATAATCACTAAAATAACAATAAAGGGAAATAAAAGCGTTCTTGAAATTATAGTGATGAGTCCATTAGTAAAATTCATTCTAAATATAATAACTAAAGACATACACCTAGACATACAGCAGGCATACATCAAACAATAACCTAAACATACACCAAAGTTCTGAAATTTAGAGATTCTGTGAAATTTTTTGCCATGCAGTTCCTCTACCAATGCTTTTAGGAGTTAGAATCAATATATTTCCCAGTATCAATCTGCTCAAAAACAAGTTTAAAACTGTGAAAAGATTTTGTTTCTTTGTTTGTTTTTAACATTCCTCCATACTAACTAAAGCACCCTGATTTAGTATGAAGAATCTGGGTTTCTTGCCTCAGTGACAAAACAGATTTCATTCTCCAGCAACATTTTTAAAAAATCCATTATTAATCCATTTAACCCTTTCAATCTGTAGGAGCAGTACCCAATTATCTTAGAAAAGCAAAGAGTAAAGACCAAACACATCAAATCTAATAATATCTCTCATAATTCCTGCGCTCCAGTTCTAAACTGCCACAAGACAAATACTTTGGGAGGGGGAAACGAAAATATAGTTTAACTCAAACTGTTAAAGGCATGAAATGTGAACAATAACCACTTACAGTATATAATACAAAAGCAATATGCGACAATAAAAGCATTCCACCATGGTACCAGGCATTTTAATCCATTTTTATAAAGAACAAGAGGTATAAAGAGTTGAACAGAATTTTTTAAGATGTCCGGAGAAAGAAATATCCATTAGTAAGTGGCATTCTCACTGGGATTGCATTTCGTGAATATTCTCCATCAAAAAGATGAGAATATCAGTTTTTACACATTAGTTCAGGAAAGTGATAGTCTGAAATTAGAGCTGCTAAAAACAGGCAGGTACTGTGAAATTCAAGGAAATGCTGCAGCAAATAGCTAAGGGAATGAAAAAAGGATAAAATTCTCCTTATCCTTACAAAATTGGCACATTATTCCAAGTGAGGTAACAGGCAGAACCTCACAGTAGATTAAAGGGAATTTGAGGACAAATGTTTCATTCAATAGGCCTTTCTATATAGCAGATAACTTTCCACCCAGTAAAGAAGAGCCTTGTCTTTTATTAACTCCATTTGAAGGTTTGTGTTACTATTAAAAACCCTGTTTTTTCACTTATTCATGAATGTATTGGCAAGTACCTCTGCATCACTCATAAAATTCAACATGGCAGGTGGTCCTTAATTTTTCACCAAAACTATTAAAAGCTCTGCAGACGGTGACTGCCTTGTTTCCATTTGCTTTTCACTTGTTTCAGCTGCCATTAAGCAATGCCTCCTGAATATTTTCAGATATATCTTCTATGAAAATAATAAAGACCTCTTTAGATACAATACATAATTATTTTTTTCTGAATGTTATCAGTTATCGGGTATATTTATTTCAAAGAATTTACATTTGCCATTTTAAAATTTATCTATTTTTAGTGCTCCATGCACATCTGTCCTTGACAACACAATTACAAATTGAGAAACTTTAGTGCAATAAGTTCTCACCTGAAAGGAAAATAAGCAATAAAATTTATTATTTTAAGTTACTGTATAATTAAGTGATACCTATCTCATTTTCATAAATCTAGGACTGAAGAAATTGTGGGGAACCCAAATATGATCTAATGCAATATCCCTCTAAAAGATCATATTGTGTTTTATTACATTATCTGAAACAAACTAAAGGTTTATATTTTAGAAAATCTTTTTCACTTAAAATATGGCCCTTAAAAACTAGGATTTTTTGAGTTATTCTATAGACCAAATAAGCTGCTACTTTTGGCATCATAATTAACACATGTATCTATTAATTATAACAAATGGATAATTAATAAACAGCAAATTAGTCACAAATTTAATTAACCACAAATTAAAAAGTTTACAAGCTTTATGTCAATGGTTGTTGGAACAAATAAACTGACAAGTTAGGAGAAAAAACAATTACATCCTGGAATTCTGTGACAAAGATTTTTTTCTTTTTATTTCTTTTTTTTTTCTTATACCTGTGATCCTCTCATCCCAATTCCTCTGCTCAGTCTTTTGGAGAGAGAAATTGATGGCATTTCCATCTGTCAACAAGCACAGCCATACTTAAGTCATCATCAGCAGTCAAATTTTTCATTTCCAGTCACAAATTCTGAAATTCCTCACTTTGATCTCAGCCTTGTATCTTGTTCCTCTTCCACTTTAATCCAGCTTTCTATGCCTAGATAATCATTTCGCCAAATGTGTTCACAAACATTGCTCCAAATACCACTAAGAATTACATAAAAAGAATTTGATATAAGTCAACTGTACACATTATACCAATCCAATAAGTTTAGAAAACTTTGGATAGAAAAATTCCTTAAAACTAACCTCTCAAATGTTGTTATCTCACAGTATAAAGAAGGTGGAGTCCTTATTATGTAGACGAGTGGTCCCCAACCCTTTTGGTACCAGGGACTGGTTTTGCGGAAGACAATTTTTCCATAAATGGGTGCCAGGGTGGGGGCTGGGTAGAAGGGATGTTTTCAGGATGAAACTGTTCCTCCTCAGATCATCAGGTATTAGTTAGAATCTCATTAAAAGTATGTAACCTAGGTCCCTCACATGGACAGTTCACAGTAAGGTTCGTACTCCTATGAGAATGTAATGCTGATGATGATCTGACAGGAAAAGGAGCGCAAGCGCAGGTGGTAATGAACCTGCCTGCCCCGCACATCCTGCTGTGGAGCCCAGTTCATAACAGGCCAGTGACCACTACTGTCTGCAGGTGGGGGTTAGGGACCCCTGCTATAGACAATATAAATAATTTAAGAATAAACTTTTATTCACTCTGCTAACAAGTTTGCTTTGTCATTTCTCTTCTTTCTTCATGACACCTCTCTATTCTTATTCCAGCCATTTCCCCACCTTACCATTCAGTCCCCGGTTTACTGAACGAGGTTTTTTCCCTCACCACTGTTTAAGCGATACAATGAGATCCTACTCGCTCCATGTGGGTGTCCGTGAAAAACTCTCCCACCAGGATTTAATCTAACTTGTCCTTCCAGCTTTTTCTACCACTACTCTTTTTAAAAATATCCATGAAAAGGTCCCAACATAGCCAAGTCATTTTCAAAAGGTATCACTACCATCACACACAGCCACTATCCAGAGCCACATTCATTCTAAGAAAAACTACTTGACTTTCTGAATGACCAAGGAGATTTTAGGGAAAGTGAGTATTTGAAACTGCTTCCGTCTCTTTGTCCACTGAACCCAATCAACAAGTCTTTATCCTGTTTTAAGAGCCCGATGTTAAGAGAGCTTAATTTGATGGACCCATCATTTAAAAGAAAATCTCCATTCCCCACTCCCTTAAATATTCTAAATAATTCAAACATAAACTCTCATGCTACCCAATAATTAACACTTACCAAGCATTTATTTTGTTCCAAGGACATTACACTGTAGTGTGTGTGTGTGTATATATATACATATATACATACACATATACATATATATAAAATATACAATGACTTATATTGGAACTCGTGTGTGTGTGTGTGTGTGTGTGTGTGTGTGTACAATGACTTATATCAGAACTCATTTTGTGTGTGTGTGTGTGTGTGTATAATTTAATGTTAATAATAATCTTGGATGTCACTCAATGCATAGATTCTATCATGGTTCCTCAGTTTAACGTGAGGAAACTTAAAGTTATGTGAGATTAAGTAGCTCGCCCAAGGTCACAGCTGGTAAGTGGTAGAGTAAACGCTGGTCCCTGAACTCTTGCACTTCACCAACAAAATGTATTTCTAAGGGCTTGCATTTAGGATTACATCAAATTACACCACCAAAATGTAATATCTTAGGCAATAATTTATTTGTCATAAAAATGTAAAAATAAAATATTCTGGGACTTCTAAGGAGATATTAGTTTTGATCATAAAAATCAGAGAGGGCTTCCTGGAGGAGTAATAGTTGAGGTTTTTCTTTTTCTTTTTTTATAGACAATGTCTTGTTGTCACCCAGTTTACTGCAGTAGTACCATCATAGCTAACTGTAGCCTCGAACTCCTGGGCTCAAGCCATCTGCCCACTTCAGCTTTCATAGTAGCTGAGGCTACAGGAGTGTCAGTGTGCCTGGTTAATTTTTTGTACAGACAAGGTCTTGCTTTGTTGCCCAGGCTGATCTCAAACTCCTAGCTTCAAGGGATCCTCCTGCCTCAGCCCCGCAAAGTGCTGGTATTACAGATATGAGCAACCATGCATGGCCAACATGAGTTTTTGGAGGACATATAATATATAAACCTTTTATGAGGAGATGGAAGAAAATCAGTATCAGGAAAGTAAAATAAGCACACTCAAAAATATTAAAATTATTGACCAAGTTAGTTTGGCTGAAGTGAATTTGGCTTAAAAAGAATAGTTAAAAAATAAACTCAGAAACCTAATGTCATGTGTTACCCTTAATACATCTCATTGTTTTACTAAACACTAGTTCTACCTCCATAATGTGTCCCTAACACATCCCCCTCCCTTCTCTCCCATTTTCAGCAACAGGATCTTAGCTCAGAGTCTTTGCCTAAAATTTTTCCAAAAGAAGTTGTTGCCTTCAGCCTCTCTCATATCTAGTTCAGTATTCAGTAATAACTTTAACTTCCCTTAAAGTTATTACTATAGCCAAAATTTAATCATTATGCCCTCCTTAAGAATTCTTGGCCATTGTTCCATAACTACAAAGAGTAGTACAAATTCTTTGGTACAACATAGAAAGCCCTCCAGAACTTAATGCAACTTTTCTACTTTCCTAGCTTTATCACTATAATCCTTCTCACTCAAGCCCTAGCTATCTGATCATCAAATAAGAGCTGCGATTTCATATGTCACCCACTTTTGTTCATCATGCTCACTGTGCCTAGAAGTGCCCTCACAGGATCGCACATTTGTCTATTAAACCTCAATGCACATATTATCTCCTGAAAGACCTTATTTGTTCCCTCCTTGAAATTTATTCCCTCACTTTAATTAGAATTAATTTCTGACTTATATTGTAACTTGTTATTGAACGATTTGTCTTCTTAAAATATTTCTTGTAATTTAGCATGAAAATCAGTGTTAATTTCTTAAAACAAACCTACTGAATGGCATGAAGGTAAAAAACTATATTACTATATTTTCAATAGAAGGAAGAAACCCAGAGATTTGGAATATGAAATAACAGACCATCAAAAACTAGTTGCACTACAAACACAAATATGTGTGTAATATAAAATATATGGCAAAATTTAATATGCCATTGAAGAAGATTATAGCAATGTATGCACTTCCTTTTATTAGCTATGTAATTAATTTGGTTTCCTTTTAGGGATTAATACACTATTATATACCAATTTCTTCCTTACATAAAATGGCACATTTACTATTAGAACTCATGCTACCCATTTGCATGTTGTTCTATAAATGAAATTCATTCCCACAAAACAATGTAACTGATTGCAAATGTATAATGGTTTATTAGTAACAGCAATAGCTCAAGAACTAGTATTAATAGAAGAGAAAAAATATATGTGTACGCATATGAATATATAATAGATATTTACATATTATGTAATACAGTGTGTCTAAATAATCCACCTCTATGTCATCTAGCAGTCAGAAAGGAATAATAAAAATCAAACGCTTTCATACTTTTAACTCCCGCAAAACTTGTTTTCCTTCTACATTTATAGTAGTATATTAAATAAATTGGTCCAGATTGCATTTTTTAATTTATACTGGAATATTCTTGAAAATAAAAAACCCTATATTTATTAACTACAATGGTATCTCATATTTTTATTTAACAACAACCAAAAAAGTACTTGCACCCCACTTATTAATGAGACTGAAGAATGAGACAATGATGGGTAATTTTGTCTTGTTCTACTCCCATGAGGCTTTTTCTTTGTAAAATTATATATAAATATATTAGATATACATAGAGATGGTGATGTGTGGATGGATGGATAGATTAGATAGCTAGATAGATAGATAGATAATTAGTCTATTTTCATACTGCTGTGAAGAAATACACAAGACTGAGAAATTTATAAAGGAAAGAGGTTTAATTGACTCACAGTTCTGCATAACTGGGAAGGTCTCAGGAAACATAATCATGGTGGAAGGGGACGCAAACACGTCCTTCTTCACATGGCAGCAGGAGAGAGAAGTGCAGAGTGGAGTCAAGGAAACTCCTTATAAAACCACCAAATCTCATAAGAACTCATTTACTATCATGAGAACAGCATGGGCAGCAGAGGGGGACTGCTCCCAACACATAGGGATTACAATTCAAGATGAAATTTGGATGGGGACACAGAGTCAGGCCACATCATTCCACCCTGGGCACCTCCCAAATTTCATCCTTCTCAAATTTCACAACACATTTATGCCTTCCCAACAGTTCCCCAAAGACTTAACTCATTCCAGCTTTAACCCAAAATTCCAAGTCCAAAGTCTCATCTGAAACAAGGCAAGTCCCTTCTGACTATGAGCCTGTAAAATCAAATGCAAGTTAGTTACTTTTTAGATACAATGGGGGTACAGGCATTGGGTTAATAAACCCATTCCAAATGGAAGAAACTGGCCAAAATGAAGAAGCTACAAGCCCCATGCAGGTCCAAAATCCAATAGGGCAGTCATTAAGCCTTAAAGTTCCAAAATGATCTCTTTTGACTCTATGTCTCACATTCAGGTCACGCTGATGTAAGAGGGGGGCTCCCCATTCTGGCTGCTTTCATGAGCTAGCAATGAGTGCCTGTGGCTTTTCCAGGTGCACGTGTAAGCTGTTCATGGATATTCCATTCTGGGGTATGAATAATGGTGGCCCTCTTCTCCCAGCTCCACTAGGCAATGCCCCAGTGGGGAGTCTGTGTGGGAGCTCCAGTCCACTTTTCCCTTCTGCACTACCCTAGCAGAGGTTCTCCACGAGGGCTCCACACCTACATCTGGGTGATTCCATGCATCATCTGAAATTTAGGAGGAGGTTCCCAAACCTCAATTCTTGATGTCTGTGCACCTGCAGGACCAACACCACATGGAAGTTGCCAAGGCTTGTGGCTTGCATCCTCCAAAGCTATGGTCTGAGCTGTACCTTGGCCCCTTTTAGCCACAGATGGAAGGGCTGGGATGGAGGGCACCAAGTCCCTAGGCTGCACACAGTAGGGGGGTCCTGGACCTGGCCCACAAAACTGTCCTTTCCTCCTAGGCCTCTGGACCTGTGATGACAAGGGATGCTGTGAAGGTCTCTGACATACCCTGGAGACATTTTCCCCATTATCTTGGCAACTAACATTTGGCTCCTTATTACTTATGCAAATTTCTGCAGCATATTTCTCCCCAGAAAATTTTTTTTTCTTTTCTACCACATCACTAGGCTGCAAATTTTCCAAACTTGTATGCTCTGTTTCCTCTTGTATGCTTTGTTACTTAGAAATTTCTTCTGCCAGATACCCTAAATCATCTCTCCCAAGTTCAAAGTTCCACCAATCTCTAGGGCAGGAGCAAAATGCCAGCAGTCTCTTTGCTACAGCATAGCAAAAGTCACCTTTGCTCCAATTCCCAATAATTTCCTCATCTCCATCTGAGACCACCTCAGCCTGAACTTCATTGTCATCATTATTGGCATTTCGGTCAAAGCCATTCAATAAGTCTCTAGGAAATTCCCAACTTTCCCACATCTTCCTGTCTTCTGAGCCCTCCAAATTGTTCAAACCTCTGCCTGTTACCTATTTCCTAAGTCACTTCCACATTTTAGGGTATCTTTATAGCAGCACCCCACTACCTGATACCAACTGACTGTTTTAGTCTGTTTTCACACTGCTATGAAGAAATAGCCCAAACTGAGTAATTTATACAGGAAGGAGGGTTAATTCACTCACAATTACGCATAGCTGGGGAGGCCTCAGTAAACTTATGATCATGGAGGAAGGGGAAACAGACATATCCTTCTTCACATGGCAGCAGGAGAGAGAATTGCAGAGTGAAGGGGGGAAAACACCTTATAAAACCATCAGATCTCATAAGAACTCACTATCACAAGAACAGCATGGGGTAATCACCTCCATGATCTAATCAACTTGCATGAGGTCCCTCCCCCAATACCGGTGGATTACAATTCAAGATGAGATTTGGTGTAGGACATAAAGCCAGACCATCTTAGATAGATAGACAGATAGATAGATAGATAGATAGATAGATAGATAGATAGATAGATAGATAGATAGAATAGATAGATAGACACAGAGACATACACATGTACATATAGCAATTCATGATCCAGGAGGAAAATATAAAGAACATAGAGTAATCCAAATAGTCCACCAACAAAAGATGACCCACATGAACATTATCTTGTATATTCCTCCAGTCTTTTCCTAAAAACATGTATCACATTACTTTGTGCACTTCTTTCTTCCTTAGTCTAATATCATTAACATTTTTCCATGAAAGCAAATATAATTTAATGACATAATTTAAGAGTTTCAATGACATTTCACCATAAGGATATTCATAATAGTCTTAATCCCCTATTCTTGGACATTTAAGTTGACATCTTTTCAAAAGTCAAAAGGCATTTTCTCACCCTGGAAGAGAATCCCTATTATTATCAATATTACCATCATCAAAATCACTTGTTGGTACTTCACTACATTTTGGATAAGGACATATAATCGGTGCTTCCTGCTTTACAGAAGTTATCTAAATGACTTCATTTATATGTGTAATCATTGCTCTTCTATTTACTCATTAGGTGAGTTAGGCAGGGTGCTATGTGAAGGATATAAAGAAATGCTATTATTTTGTAGTAACCTATAATCTAATGGGGCACATTACAGTAAAGTGGGTACATATTGAAAGCCTCTCTGACCAGCACGACTGTGGGCTTGTTCAGAAGGAAATGGGGAGAATAGTGAAGGGTGATAAGCTTAGAAGAACCTTCTGTAAAGAGATAACAATCCAGGCAGAAAATTACAATATATTATAATCACAGGGGGGAATAAAACATTTAGGATATTTATTCAGTGTCATTAGGTGATGCATAAAAAGATAAGCAAAGGTAAGTAAAAAAAGGATTTTGATTAAATATTAAGAAAGATCTTAGAAACTATGGGAGGAAATGATATATTTTAAAGAAAATCATAACATGATTGAATTTGCAATTTAAAAAATGACGCTGGAGAGTGAGTAGAAAAAATAATGAAGGGGAGCAAGATCAAATGCACACAAATAAATTAGGAGGCTACTGACACTCTGTAAGATAGATAAGACACAGACTTAAACCAAAATAGTGCAGTAGGATGTACAGAAATTGACAGAATAGATTTTGGAGATATTTGGAGAGAGAATCAATAAGATTTCTGTATCATTTCCAGCCACATTTACCAAAATACAAACCCAGAAAGCAATTCTTAGAATAACAATTGTAGCTAACATTTATTGATATCTTACCATGAGTTAGACAGTGTGTTAAATGCTTTACAAGCATCATCTCATTTTTATGCATATTTATTGTCCATTTTCTATGTGCTAGTACTTTGTGTGTATTACATCACTTGTTCCATACACAACCTCTTGAAATAGATACTGCTAATATTTCCCACTTTGAAAGTAGGAGACAAAGGTCTTGAGAGATTAAATAGCTTTCGCTTTCACACAGCTAATCACGTGGTGGGTTCTGGACTGGCACCTCTGTCTATTCGTCTGGAAGAAATATTCTTGATAATTATTTACTTACTTTAATAGGGTTATGCTGTCAATCTAATCTGAAATATGTCTCAAAAAGTCTCCTGAAAATGGAATACTTATTTACGCATTACAAAAGATGCATAAAAGTAAAGTATCATTAAATTCTTGTCAGAGGAAAAATAAGCAAGTAAAAATAGAACAAACGTTGGAATAAATTAGCTATAATTTCAATCCTAAAAATTATGAACTGCCACAAAAGTAAATGAATACTTAATTTCACCCTTCTTCAACTAGAAATTAAAAAGATGAAAGTTTTCTTAAAAAAATGATATTGGAATCTGAGTCCACAGCACTATTCAACAATAACAACAAGAAGTTGGGACTAGAGAAAGAAAAAACTTTCTTACAGAATAAAACAATAAATACAGAAGGAATAAGATACACAAAATCAACACTTTGTACTATCTGTAACAAATGATTCCAGTTGACATCTTAATGATAAAGCAGTTTGTAAAAGATTGTCAGTGAATTGGAAAATTTCTGTGTCCCCAAGTATCACTGAAATTTGTAAATTTATAATACAGGGTTCTGGTTTAACAAAATCACTAAACTTTAGCATCAGAAATAAGGAGACAAAGCAGCATGCTGTCACTCAATGGAAAGTAAACCACATCAACTATATTGTATCCCTGCCCCCAAAATTCAACTTGAATCTAACATTTAAAGAAATAAGAAAATCTACAATGTGGAATATTCTAAAAGGTAACTGGTCTGGATTCTCAAAAAAAAAATCAGTACAGTAAAAAAAAAAGGTGAATGAAAGTTTCAAATTACAAGAAAAGAAAAAAATTATGTCAACAAAACAAATATGAAATACTTAACTGAATCATGAATTGAAAAAAATCAGCCATAAAAAAGGCAATTTGAAGTAGGTCAGAAACTGGCATATTAACTACATAGAAACTACACATTAAGATAAATTTTAAAATAAATATTAAATTTCCTGGATTTTAAATATGGCATTGTGTTTATGTAAGAGAACATCTTCATTTTGAGAACATATGCTAGAGTCTTTAGGCATTGACTGTCATGATGCCTGTAACTTACTTTCAAATGGTTCAGCCAGGACAAAAAAAAAAAAAAAGTTTATACACATACAGGGCTGGGGGGAGTGGGGATATAAATGTAGAAAAATTGTAACAATTAGAGTGTCTGAAGACCATAAGGGTGTTCATTATACTATTCTATTTTCCTGTTACTTTGGCATTTTTAAAGGAAATAAATAAAACAAAATTTAATTTCTCAAATGGAGTTGAAAATGCATTGCTGGATTGTTAACATTATTAGTTTTAAGTATTTTTGGCAACCTACAAACTCATGCAGGTTTATCTCTCTCTCCAAAATTTATCATAGTTAATCTGTAAACAAAAAGCACTCAAGAAATGTTGATTGAACTAAATTGAATTGGTTTTAATTCCAAACATTTTTCCCAACAGTCTTTTTAGTACTGAATTCTCGTTAATGCCAATATTTTTGTTGTGTTTGATCTACTCTCCATGAAGCACTGCAGAATTCCTAATCCCCCAATATATTACATTCCCATCAGTTTAATCATTTTCCCTCATTAAAATGCATTAAATTTTGGTAATAATTTAAATTGTCAACAAGTATTTAAATCTAGTCTAATAATCCCTGTAGCCTTGTTATAAGTGTACTCTGAAAAGTACAATCCCTTCAGAATTTTCTAGCAGGTGCTACCTCTCCAGAGATTCATGGAGGTTCTGAAAGATGGAACTACACCTTGGAGCAAGAGAGGTCATTATAGGAATAAAAGTGGAAATGGAAACTTCTGTGGCATCTTTACTTGAGAAACTACTAATATGGTATCACCATCTAAGAAACAAACCAAAAGAGACAACTGGCAAGAGAGGAAAAGAAAACTGGAAAATACTTCCCAATATTCAAATTTTGAAACATAATTATATGGTATTACCAAGAACAAATTGTTCTTGTATATGAACATAACCTCTTCTCATGTGGACGTTGATGCTTCCATAGAAAAGGACAGAGAAGGACCAAGGCAAGGAGCCTGAACATGGCAAAACTAAAAAACTATTCCTCCAGTCACAAAGAAAAGTTACAGTTAAGAAAAGGATTTACTACAGAACTTCTTGACCTGAGAAAATTATCTATATATTTATGAATATATCTATAGGTTTATGAACTCTCTCTATTATATTTATGAATACAAATGACAGACAGAAAGGTGGAAGGATGAGAGGGAGAAACAGAGGAAGGGGAAGCTGGTTAATTAGTTACCTAGCTAAAAGACACAGGCAACAGAAAAAAAATACTCCACTTTCTAACCTATTGCTTCCGAATTTACCTTCCAATTACCTAAAAATAGAATAAAAATTAAACTCTTCACGGTTTATGAGATTAAAAAAAAAACTAAAAATATAAACTCTGAGTTGTAGTTGGTTTTTGACTCATTATAGTGTTAATTCTTTGGAGCATATCAGACAGCGTTAGACTCAATTTCCTTAAATAAAATGGAATAATCTAAATTTTTTAAATCATATGGCACAATCTAAATTTGTAAAAAATTATACAGTACATTCTCCTGCTCTACAGAATAACGCAATTTTTACACCCAATTCCTTCCATCTCAGGATTCTTTCACAACTGCTGAAGAAAGCCACAGCTATGCTGACAAAGCAGTGAAGAGTAAACTCCAATGTACACGTAACTCCAGAGATCTGCAGGCGTAGAAAGTGAAAATCACCCACTTTTCCTGACAGGAAACACAGGTCAAGCCTTTCCAGATATCCTTGACCCCTATAGCACAGTAAGAATCAGGAGCAAAATCAACCATGCCCTCAAAGGGATGGTTACCTTTTCAGTTGTCCTGACTGCTTTCGCCTGGCTGCCTCAATAGGAAAAGGTGGGAAATGTCAAACCAGGTATAGGAACTACTGATTTATTTTTCCCTCCAGATCGACACAAAAGAAAAAAACAGCAAATTCCATGGCTCTCAGTTACAGATGTCACTATTCACCTGATGATTCTCTAACTGATTATATGACAAAAATCTTATCAAATTTTTAAATACATTTTTAAACAGAAAAAAATAAAATGCATTTAAAAGTGCATACTATCCATTTACCTTATTTTTCTACAAGTAATTCCTTAAAGATACAAAATAACATTTTGCATTCTTTAACACAGCATAGCAAATTGCCACCAAAGAATAGGTTGATTTTAATGGCTTAAATGCAAAATAATTTATTTCATATTGCAAAATGTATGCATGTCAAACCTATCCATTACATAATAAAACACCATTTATTATTTAAAAGCAATATGCATAATGTCTATTTTGATATATTTTTCAGACAAGGACTTTACAAAAACATAAAATATGAAATCAACAATCAATTTTCTTAAATATTTTTCAATATTTCTTTGAAAATGAATAGAAACAGAAATTCTTTATTAGGAATAACAATTACATAAACTTATTTATTAAATTAATTATAGTAATACCTTACTTTTCACAGGATCATGAAACTAATACTAGTTTAAGAAAAAAATCTCATTTCATTAAATAATCATATGTGGCTGTAATTGCAATCAACTTTGAATAAGGGTGCTTCAATTCTACAGTCTGACTGCATTTAAGGATTTCTGAAACTCTTTTTAAGACCTGTTTTAACAAATTACAATTCATGTCGAAGTGATGTGAATTGTTTAGGCATCTTTAATAACCCTCTATTGGCATCTTTTTCTCAAACCATAGCCCTCAGCTATGATAGCTTTCCAGAACCTAGAATCCTAGTGACTTTAGGAATTGTTTGGCTAATAAATATCTGAAATATAAATCAGTATCATATGTAAATACAGTACCTAAATAATCTTGAGTGATGTAGTTCAATCAATGATTGTTAAATTAGTATATGAAATATATTTAGTACCCTTTTAGTCTTAGAAGTTTCCATCCAAAAAAAACGCCTCTCAGATTAAACTAAGAGGTCCAGTGAGATGATATCACTGGTTCAAATGATTCAGTAAAGAATAATTTTAGAAAGTTAACAGAAGACTTTATGATTCCAAATACACTGATTAACATATTTTTTAAAACCCTATATTGGGCTAGGACTGAACTAGACTGAAATCTCTAAGCTCCCAGGGCAAAGGGGTAGAAACTTACTTGACAGCAGCATGAAATGCCACTTTGCTTTCTAAACCTCAGTGTTACTAATCTAATATGACTTCTGCAGATCATAAAGTACAATTGGCCCTTTCAATTTAGATTCGAACACCTGGCTAAATCCATTAACCAGTGATTCCATGAAGCCAAATCCACTGCCTTTTAGCCAAATCATATTTTTCCCCTCTTTTATGGAAACTCTTTGAATGAGGTTTCTGAAAAAAAAGTCCATCACAAATTAATGTAAAAAATGCACAGCAAATTGTATCTGTACTCCAGACAGCTTTTTCATAAATTTTTACGAGTAGAGTTAAACTAGACTGTGTAGATCACTTATACAAATTATCTCCATAATAAGAGGCTCCTGTCATTTCTGAGTGTATGTGTTTGCATGTAATTGTGTCCATCGGATTTATCTTGACTTTTTAGACAAACTATTGCAATTCTAAAGATTTGAAAATTAGCTCAATTTAATCCACCACCACAACCACCATTACAACTACTAACAATAACAAAACTTCTCAAGTTATTCTTTGTTATCGTACTACTTCAAAAATAATGGCTTCATTGGCTGAATTTAGTAGCTGTATGTGCAGATATTGCATATCTTTTATAAACAAAGCTACAACTCAAATACGCACCTTTTATATATATATATCATAACTAAATCCTACTGAGGATAAACAATTGATGAGAGAGAGAGAAAAGTCAGAACTCAGCGAAGTTACTATCAACACAGATAATTTCTCTGTGGTCTTTGAGCACCATTTTACTTAGAAAGGTGCTTAGATTAACAAAAATGTGGGAGGAAAATAAGAAGAACTGACTAAACACATGTTTAGTGTCTGTATGATTAGGTTCAGGAACAATGCCAGGAGGAAACTATGTAAGATCTCATCTGATTTTAGATACTTGTCAAAAAAGAACTAAGAAGAGAATATCTTACTGATGAGATGCTGTCTTTTTAAGTTTGGTAGAACAAAAAGCAAGTTCACTTCTTTAATAAGTACAAATAAACAAGACTGATGAGGTGAACAAAAATCAATCCACAGATTCCAAAAATTTTACAACTGTTTATTTTCAGTTCAAACATGATTGATGTCAATTAGATGCAGATCTGTCCTGGTGATTCTCAGGAAATCTACCGTGTCAGATAATTACCTTCCGTGAAACTCAGAAAATCCAGTGCTATGCTTTAACCTATCTTTTCCCCAAATCCTTAAATTCCATACATTCTTTAAAATTATTTAATTTTTATCACTATTTTTCATTTCTGCTAATATTAATATTTTACTTACAAAATACAGCAAATACTTAATATTTTTTATGTACAGCATTTTTCTTATTACTGGCATATTTTAAACTTTATTTTTTGTGAGAATTTTTTTTACAGTACTATGGAAAATCCTTCCAAACAAGAAATGCATAATATGCAATTTAAAATATAATCCTTAGTAAGCAAAACATGAAAATCTTGATTTAAAGACTAAGAAAGATTATTAGATTTTAACAGAATTACTAACTAAAAAGAAAAGATTTTAGACAATGCTTTAAAAATGGTTTTTAAAAAAGCCTTTTTGACTTGATCTCTAACAAGACCAATACATGTTTTAATAATGTGAAAGATGTATATATTCCTTCATTATGTTTTGAGTGTGAACTAGTAATTCAGAATTGTCTTGGAAATTTACAGCTTTTATTAGTAGAAACTGAATCTTCTCTTTCTGTAACTAGGCACTGCATTTAGAGACAGAAGAAAGCCAAACGAGCTTGTTCTGCAGCACAGTCAAGCTCTGCATGTAAAATGTCATGACATGTAAACAAAAATAATACAAACTTAAATTTCTGTCAAAATGGTAAAACTGTGGTTATTGTGAAAGTCAACTAAAAATATAAAGTGGATAAGGATATATCTTTACTTATTTCACACACACACACACACACACACACACACACACACACATCTGTCCGTCACTCACTTTTTGAAGTGTCAGATAACATTATTTCTCAAATGACACATAGGGCTTCATTTGCTATGCATAAGGTCAGTGAATATTAGCTTCATTTACACTTGGCTGAGAATCGGTTGGTGTCAACAGAAGAGGCTTAGTTCCTCCACTAAATAGGGTTAGAATCTGACAGAAAGCTGCCACTGAAGAAGATGGATGATCCTCCTTGCTGACCCTTCTCCTCTGAAAGTGTCATAGTTTGGGTCTCTTTCTATCTCTACAACAAAGACCCTCTCTGAGCTTCCCAGTGGCCTTCAGTTTTATTGGTGCTAACAGGTCCAGACGTTTTCATCGATTGGATTCTCTACCTTTTTAAATACAAGAGCATGCCCTTTTTGGCTAGCTAAACCTTGGCACAGATGTCTTTTTTTGTAATTGTGTCTCTGCTGTCTATTGGAAAGGATGCAATCAGACAGGCAAACATCATGTCAGCACAGAAAATGCTAAACTATTTATCTCAGTTTCCCAATGTCATTTTAATGAAAGTGACATGTCATTTATCTGTCGAAATTAACCTTGGATAATCTCACAGCATATTTCTAGGTGAAAAATCAAAATCTCATGCCATTTTGATGACTAATGTGTAAACAATAATTATACAGAACTATTCAGTAGGTAGAAAAAATGTACTTTTCTAGTCATTTTATATAAACTGTTACTGACAACCATATTTTAAAATGTACATACCTGAAAAAAATTCTACATAATTTTCAGAAATATATTTTGCTTTTTACTAGTGGCTGAAGCTGTGATATAGATCCTACCCTGACTAAAAGCATATAAAAATATTTAATACCTAACAAAGATGCTATAACGATATAATAAATTACATGCTGCTTGAGATCCTGACTGTGAGCTCTTTTAATATGTTCGAGATTTGTTATTGATACTTGAATGTTAAAGAGATTACATAACCCCAAATTCCACTTTTCAAAAACGCATATGCTAAAATGATAAAATGTTTTTACGAATAGATTTACATGTAACACATTTTAGGAAAAATGACTATTATGAAACATGCAGTTGTAACTCAGCTCTAAAGTACTACAATATATAGCTATCAAAATTATTCCATACAAAATATAACAATATATTTGCACATCTGGAACTTCAGAGTTAGCCAATAAATGTATGCAACATAAATATAAATATGACAATCCCCAGTACAAATGGGGAAATTAAAAATAAATTCACTAAAAATGAAGAATTACTAATTCTAACCATGTTAACCCTTTTGTTAGACTGTAGAGAAAAATATATGATAATATATTATATGATTCTGAAATAGAATCTATTAATGAGCTTAATTAAAATATTCTGAATATTCTGAATATTATTTTTAGTGTTACTGTTTTCATTAAAATTGAGAACATTATCAAATTATAGTTGAAAATAACTATCAATGAAAATTTCTTCAGCCAAAAGCTTTGTTCTAGATGTATCATTAACCGCAATCATTAAAATAAGTATACTTACTAAGGTGGAGAAGCCCATTAAAAAAATACAATACCAACACTTGTAAGAACACAGTTTCCTTCTATTTTTAATGTCATATAGGCTGTGCATCCATGATGCTCAATTTTTATTCTCTCAAGTAAATAGTTTTTCAAGAAAAGTTCCAATAATTTCAAATATGTATATGAAAAGTAATTATCAATTTTTACTTAGAATTTTCTTTCTATAAAACAGAGTAAACAAAATCAAAATTCTTCTTCCAATATGGGAGCCAGAAGCACCAGGAACCCAGTTTTTCTTTAAATCAAATAAATCATTACTCTTAATTGATAAATATGGTCCTAAAACTCTAAATTAATCTTAATTATATGAATTCTGAAGAATATGCAATGTTTTTTAAGAATAAAGAAAAATAGCAAGATTTATCACCCCCAAAGATGGGTCCAGGATAGTGTTATGTGTTCAACTGACCTAAGCAGTCTACCTACGAATATTCTCATGCGTATGTCCATCAATCGATGTCAACATTCCATTGGATTCCAGTCTGACTGGCAAGCGATACTCAGTTATCTATTAACATTAATGAATAATAACCGTGCCCTTTAGGTTTATATGAATATAATGTACATTGTTTTCTGTGTAAATTACCCTATATTCAAAAGCAGACTTGGTTTTGTTATTTTCTTTCATATTATACACTACAAAGTGGTTTTTAAAAAAGGAAGAAAAAGAAAGTGGCTGCAATAAAAAAGTGTGCTTAATGTGAACTCTGGTATGTATCAGTGTTTTGTTTTTCTAGTCAACTTTATCCCAGCTTGTAACATATAAGCTTAAATGAGTTGTATTCACAGGTTCCTGAATATGTATGTTCTTTTACAGATCTAACATATAGTTTTTGTCTCTGCAACAGAGTATATAATGACAGAAAATCCTTAAAAACTAAAGATCAGAACAAGTTGTGTCAGTATTTTAACCTTGTTCACTCTTACCTCTTCACCCTTAATCTATCTTCCTGGCAGCAAAAACTATTTCTATATATTATTTGTATATTCTTATTTGTTATTGGTCTCCATTTCTCTTTCTCAAATTGAAACACACCATAACAGAACTACTTCAGCTTTCAGAAAAAATAAAGATTAAGAACTTTAACTGATTAAGTACTCTTATAAACATCTTGGCTGAGTTCCTTTACAGTATTGATTGAGAGTGGTAATTCTGGAATTATACAAGTCACCGTCCAAATGTTACAAAAGAGACTATAACCTTCAGCATTGATCAAAGTGTGATTTATTTTCTTAGCTCTATAAAAAAGGCCAGAATTCAAATTATGAAAATGTGCCATACCGTATGATTTGTAATTTTTATTTTGAAATTACTATTTATCTTTCCATTAAAGGAATAGTGTAGAATTTTCTCAAAGATAAATGAACATTTAATGCCAGTGTCTAAAACACTATAAGAGAAGATGGAGAAGGAAAAAAAAAAGAAATCAGATGGAACAGGGATTGAAAAGAAGAGACACTTTATTATAATGAAGGATGAGGCATATTAGAGGATGAATACATACACAGTGATGTCCTAGTAAATAATCTTGAAAATCAACAAGAGAGCTGTTTGAATTTGGAGTAGTAATTGTCTCATTGGAAAAATTTACAAAGGAGGGAAATGATCCAATTGTTATGTTCAGCTCTTAAAAACACAGTTCTCCTGTATATAATGTTTGTGCAGAATAAACATTAGACACAGTAAAGAACATGTGCTAAATAGTGAACTTTAAAATTTCCTGTCAGGTTTATTTTGCAAACTAAAACACTGTCTCAACATAACTCTTGAGCCACGTGTTTTCCCAGTTCCAGCTCACAGCCTGAATGTCTAAGCTTAACATGTGTTAATTTTAAAAGTCAGTTTTGAGAAACAGATATTGCAGAAGGGTGATTGCCCCTTTTCCCTTGCAAGGGCAGAGAGGTTAAAGTTTAAAGGTTTCTCAGAGGAGATCTGGTCAGAAATCACATGGTAAAACAGCAAAACTTCTGCTCCTGCACAAATCTTCAGTTTCTGATCACGTAAGAGGTGCCCACTGTTCTCATTTTAAAACACATTTCCTAATCATTAATTGCTAAAATTTGTGTTCTTTTGTTCTAAAATACCACAGAAACTTAGAGGTATATAAAAAGTGAAGTTTACTTTCTCTTCCCTTCCCAGACATAAATAGCCTTCAAGTATTCCATATGATAAAGAAAACCTAAATATCTACTTGAAAATAAAGAAGTTTGTTTACACCTTTGTTGTTCTGTGAAGCAATATTTAAAGATTTTATTGAAGTAGCTTTATTTTATTATTTTTAAAATGTGAAATAATTCAATAATATTCTACAGGATTTTTTAGCCTCTTTTTAATTGTAAATTGAGATTTCCATAGAAAAGAAATCTTAACTATTCAGTACTCCCAAATTAAGGAATTAATGCATAGAAATTTGGAAATCTAAAAATGATTCAAGAAGATATTTTGTTTTCTTGCTCCACTATGTTGACTTTTGTTTTCCCCTCTTGTTGGCTCTGTGTGTGTGTGCGCGTGCACATACATATGAGTGTATTTATATATGCGTGCTTTTGGATATCTGTGGTTGTGTGTGTGTATATGTATTATGTGTGTGTACTGGCAAAGGAGAAAGGAAACTGGAAAGAGTAAGATGTGACTTACTTTTGAATCTGTCATTAATGAACTGTTGGAAGTATAAATGAGGACTTTAGTTGTCCCATTTATTTAAAAATAAAAAGACTAAAAAAACCCTCTAATTTATCTTTGATGATCTTTAAGGCACACTCAAACTTGAAGAATTTGTAATATTAATTGTCTTGAAAGAGATTATGCCCTAAAGGAGTACAAGAATGCCCAAAGAACTTTTGTGTTATAAAGAGTGTATCATATCTGAGTGGGTGAGGGGCATATCCTACCGCACATCTCTCTTCGAGGATAAAAGTACTTTATAGGAAAATGTCAACTAAAATAGGGACATTATATAATACAAGTCACTTATTTTACTGGGATAAATGTAGAAGATATTATGAAACATTTTAAAAATCCATTAGGTTTATTTAACCTATATATTAGGTTAATGTCATTAAGTAAGCTAATGCCATTTGGTATTATTTTCTATATGAGAACTAGTTTAGCAAATAATGATAGTAAACTACTATTAAAATAAACAGGGAACATATAAATCACTGGAAATATAGAATTGCACAGTGAATTACTAATCTTTCATTTATTTTTCTCAGAATAAGCTTTTATTTTATCAAGCAACTCCACATATACAAGTGTTTTTTAGATGTGTTCTATCCCTCCACACCTATCCATTCACCCCTAATCCCTCTCCTGGTCCAACTCTCTTTTAGAAAGAATGATTCCTGCCCTGCTTTTTTGTTTGTTTTGTTTAGAAACAAGGTCTAACTGTCACCCTGGCTGGGGTGCAGTGGTACCATTATCACTCACTGCTCACTGTGACCTCAACCTCCTGGGTTGGAGTAATCCTCCCAACTCAGCCTCCTGAGTAGCTAAGACTACAGACACACACCACTACACCTGAATAACTTTTCCAATTTTTGCAGAGCTGGGGTCTCACTACGTTGCTCAGGCTGGTCTCAAACGTCTGGCCTCAAGCAATCCTCCTACCTTAGCCTCCCAAACTGCTGGGATTACAGGCATCAGCCGCTGTGCCTACCAAGAATGATTTCTTTAAAAAGTAGACTAGGTTATACTAATGTAATAGATTTTTGAATCATTCAACTTAAAAATGATAAATGTATGATATGTAGTTAATATTGTATCAGATTGATATTATGCTTTATTCATAAAAGCATCACAGTGATCTCTTCTCCAGATCTAGGTTTTCTCTGTAAGGTTGTAATTCAGTGTTAATGGGTTCAGGGTAAGTCTGAGGCTACCATCACCACAGGCCAGGGGTTAAACTAGGTGCTAATTGGGTGACACATGAAACAAAATATTAAACACAGTATGTGTCCTTTCAAAGCCCCCTGATTTTCTAATACATTAGGAGCAAGAGATAACATAATCATCAGCAGTAAATAACTTAAATGACTAAATAACATGAAAAAATTCAAAATCCATAAAAAATATAACCATTAAAAAACTTTCAAACTATTACATCCCAGAGTGCATTTTCCCTGGGTTTCTTTGTTCTTATGTCATTCATCGACGCTAAACAAAGTAAATTAAATAATAAACCTTCCATAACTCTTAACAAAATCACAGAATATAAGAAAAATAATGTACATTTGTTTCAGCTGATGTATCACTTTGGCTTCCTGAGAAATGCTATCATTCGAGATTAATATTGTAACATATACCTACAGATTCTATAACTTTAGCCAAAGTGTGTAACACGGGTAGAAAACAAAAAAAATAACATCTATAACTCATTAATTTGAACTAATTTCTAAATTGAGTTGTTTTACTACCAGATTAAAAAATAAAAACTTATATGTGCATGTGACCTTCTACTTTTCACATATTAAACTTACATTAATATCCTAATGAAGACATGCATCCATAAAACTAAATTTGTGAGATATTTTGCAGGGGATGAGGTAATTTAAAGCTATTTAAATGTGAGAAAAATTGAAACAAAAAGATTTTCTGAAATCTTTCCTTTGGTATTCATGTATCATATTTGTATGGACATAGAGAAAAATATCAAATATATAGCTGTGTCAAAATTCTCCCATGAAAATATTATTTCTATAAAATAACTAATGATAGACAATATCATCATGAATATTTCATAGATTAGTGGTTATCTTAGAGAAAATAGCTATGAATTACACAGAAAAACAAATCAAATGCAAAATTTTAAGGCATAATTGATTTGTATTATAACTGCCTGCCAGAAACCGATGCCAATTTAAACTTCCACTAGAAATTTATAAAAGACTGACCATATACTTCCCAATGCTAGGTTAATTAGAAACACTCTGAAGTCACACTAAACTAACAAACCACAGAAAACTAAATCAGACACATTAGTTTCCTATTTCCTTCCGTATTTCCTTATGTTCTCCCCCCTTTCATCAGTTCTTTCTATCCTTCTTTATTTACTGAAACAAGTACCATGTTAAATGCATTGTGAGAACAAAGATGACTAAATATGGGTAAAAAGAAGTATAATTTCAAATAAAACCTACAATGTTCTAATTGGAAATTGTGACATGATTCTAATTTTAAGCATCAAAATGATATTTCTCCATGTTTTTAAGGAAGGTAAGAGCAATTATCTTTGCAAGGTACACAAGAAACTAATAACAATAGTTGTACCTGGAAAAATATACTGTGGAACTGGGTCACAGGGATGACATTTGTTCTAGATCTGTGTATGTTACCTATCCAAAAATGTCTTAAAACAAGTATTTTGAGTTTCTGAATGTGAATAATTTAATGAAGGACATAAAAAATTGTAAAGGTAATATGTGTAGGTATAACTCAAATAGGAGAAAAATGTTTTGACATAATATGGAATTTATGTAATTTCCCACTTACAGAGACAATAGGGTAATATTAGCTTAGGGATAATTATCATGTTTTGTTTCTTTCTGTTATTTTTTGTTTTGCAATCCAAACTAATATTTATAATATATAATTTGGAAGCAAACAATATAATTTTATAACAAAAGTTGCTTTCCCATATAATATAAATATAAACACACTTCAAGGCCTTCTTAATATAGAAAATGTTAGCAGGCTCTTAGATCTCTGTTTCTTAAGACATAAATAATGCTAACAAGGGTGAAATGCCTTTTGTTTCCTCAGAGAAGAAAAGGGAGAAATTGAAAAGACACATAAAGACAGTAAGAAAGCATGAGAATGTGACAATAGATAACAGTTATATTATCTTCACATGAATAAATTCTTCAACTCCAGAAGACAGTCTTGTTTATGTTTGCTAATTATTAGCACTTTATCCTGTTATTTGCTATGAGGAAAATGGAATGTAGTTAAGGACTCCCATCCTCACAAAGTTGAAGACTACTCATACAGACTAGCCATATACAAGAAATTCAATTAATTGCATTGAAATTAATTTAAATTCACTGAATTAAATGAATTCAGAGAAAGAAAATCTTTGCTTTGCCAGTGGATAGTTTATGAGTAATTCTTTAAGAAATTTCATAAATATTTATTGGAAGGCTAAGGTGGTGTAAGAAACTGCTAGGTATCATGGCGGGTAGGTAAAAAAAAAAAAATCACAAGGCTTAGCTGTTTAAAAAAATAGAATCTTTAAGAGGAAAAGACAAGGAATAAAATAAGATAGCATGCAATGATTCCCCTAGGGAAAGGGCAAAGTTTAAGTACTCAAAAAGAGAAGCCAGGCATAGTGGCAGATGCCTGCAGTCCCAGCTACTTGGGAGGTGGAGGCAGAGAGGATCACTTGAGCCCAGGAGTGCTGGGCTGTAGTGTGCTATGATCTACTATGGTTGCACCTGTGAATAGCCACTGCACTCCCACCTGGGCAACATGGCAACACTCATCTCTTAAAAAAAAAAAAAAAAGAAAAAGGAGAGATCACCTAACAGGGTATACGTGGTATTTAAATTGATATTTTAAGGAAAGGCAGAATTTCTACAACCGGGAGACCATAAGAAAATATATGGTAACTACGTAGGAAAAAACAAGATAGATTAAGAACAAGGAGAATGGTACCGCCAGTAACCAACATCAGAATTTGAAAAAGAAGCTAGGGAAGCCTCTTCAAGAATGCATATAATTAAAGTATAATAGAAAATTGTGAGATATATAATTGTTAATTTTTTTCTTTTTAGTTGAGGCCAAATGTTAAATAATGAGACATCGTAGAAATATCTATGGGCATGCTTAAGGCAGAGTGAGAGAACAGTATCAGGCAGAGGGAGCAGGGGCTTCAACTGTGATAAAAATGTGACTGAAAGTTAGAAAAGAAAATAAGGTGAAGATGAGGAAATTTACATGCAAGTTTAAAATACAGACAATTTTTCTAGGTAATTAGAAGCCTGAAGCTTTCTGAATAATGATACTATGTTGTGTTTTACAAAATACAATCTGATGGCCATCTAAAGAAAAAACTGGAATCAAAAAGAGAATGACAAAGCAAGTGAAATATTTAGGATGTTAGGAAAGGTAGAGACACATATTTCGAAATTATGATAAATGAAAGAAAATGTTCAGATTTGTATCACCTTTCAAGATGTTCTGAAAAAAGTTTATGTTCATAAAAGACTTTGCAATAGATAAAATGTTCCTCTATAAAGACATGATCCAGGGTATTGGTTAGGAATAAGGATTCGGAAGCCAGACTAGCTTGATTAAAAAGCAGTTCACCACTCTGTGATCATAAGTACTTAACCCAAAGTAACTATGCTTCAGTTTCCTTACATTGTTTTTATTCATGAATTTATATATATACAAACTTATATAAGATATATAACCATATATATGTATACATGTATACATATAATCATATATATATATATATACACACATGTTTAGAGAGAGGGAGAGAGAGAGAGAGACATATACTTCTCACGGTAAGAGTATTTTTTCTCTTTTAAACTGGGTAATAATAGTCTCATTCTATTAGACTAAATTAGTAACACCTCCCTTTAAGGTTAAATTACTTAATACATGCAAGTACTTAAAATAGGATTTGGTATCTATTAACAACTAAAAACGAACAAAATCTATGAGCTGTATTTATTGAATGCCTTCTATTAATATCTTCTACCTTTTATATAATTTAAACTATATTTGCCACTTACTACTGCTATAGTACCTGAGCCCTGTGTTTATACATAAACAAACTTAATTTAAAAACCCATATTTTGGAGATACAATTCAAGTTGTCTTTATATAAGCTACCTGGTTACTTAGAACTTAAAATTATAGTGTACAAAAATAAAAGTTAATGTTCAAGATGTTTTGAATTATAGACAGAACAAAAGATCACCCACAATCCCACTACATGGATACATTCATTGTTAGACTACCATCTACTCTTTTTCCTATGTATATTTTGCATAATTCTAAATGTCATTTTATACAAATTTTTGTTTTTCATTCAAAATTATTAATAGAAATTCAAAATTCCTTTATAATATCATTGATATTCTATAGAGTAAGTTCAATCAAGGTGATACACCTTAACTTTGGACATTTAGGTTATTATCAATAATTAAAATTGCATACACTGCTGGTGGAAAAAAAGGGTTATGTAAAATATTTTTTAATTGAAATGCCTTCTTAGATAAATTAACAGGTGTGAAATTACTTGCTTAAAGGATATTTAACTATTTGTGGCCTGTGAGATACATGTTCATTTGTTCATCACCATGAGGTTTCTTTACTTAGCAAATTCCTTGTTTTATTATTAATGATAAGCATTCATTGATTATTTGCTATGTCCCACATGCTATTTTTAGGATTTGTACATACATTACTTCATTCAATTCTGACAAGAACCCTATGAGGGTTTCTATTAGCCCCATTTTATACTTAAGGAAATTAAGGTTTGGAGAGATTGTCCTACTTTATGCACCTAATAAGTTGTGAAACCAGCATTTTGAAACTGTGACTCCGGCATCTGAGCTACTAACCCACTGGTGTTTCTTATATTTCTGTATATATGTGTGTGTGTGTGTGTGTGTGTGTGTGTGTATATATATATATATATATATATATATATATATATATAAATGATTATAAATACTATATAAAGACTCATTTGTTATGAAAATTTCATGGTACAAATTACATGCTACTTGTCTGCGAAAATAAAGGCAGTTTTCAAAAACTTTGATCAAGAAACAGAATTTAAATATTGCTGATGCTATAAAATTGAATGTATTGTTTCATTTGTTAAATTATACATATGTTCATAAATTATATATTATTAAAATAATGATAGACCTCTTAACATTAACAGAAACTATTAAAAAGCTGCTATTAGGAAAAGTTCTCATAAAAATTATAAGTGTATGATTACTTGAATTCCCCTTTACATGAAATCATCTGAAAGAAAAATTTTACATATTTGCTTTCAGAAAATTTAAATTAAGCAATATAGTAATGCAAGTAAATCACATTTCTATATTCTGATATATGTGCATGTAAATCTTATGTCTTTGAATTTTTTACTTCCAAATGAGAAGAATTTTTTACAAGTAGGATTATCATCCAAATAAAAAAAAACATTTTTCAAAGCAAAAAGAAGCAGTGTTAATTAAAAAAAACAATTATCCCAGGCATATCGGGCATATGGTCACCCTACATAGAATAAAGTTTCATTAGTTTTTTAGTAACTAAAATCTACTGGGTAAAGTCCAGAACAAATTTTAGAGAAGTAGTGGAGTGAGGAAAAAAGACTTGAATTGGTAAACAGGATTTTTGAATTCTTATCCAATTTTGTTACTTATTAATATCTCTGAGCTTCAGTTTCTTCATATGTTGAAAGAGAAAAATAATAATATTTTCCACATCTTAGTGATGTGGTGAGGTTTAAATGAGAAAATGAATGTGACTGTTCAGTATAAACTGCAAACTGTCTATGCAAATCCAAGTTATAATATCCAGATCCACACTTTGACAAGCACTATTCTACTTTCTAAATCGAATAAAATTGCATAAAAGTTACAAAAATTGAAATATACTTCAGTATATTTATTTTATTAGTCTTCCCGAAATATTTACATATGTAAAATATAACAGGATCTCTCAATTTTTAAAATAACTATACTTTTTATCTAAGAAAATGTATTGGCTAGTTTGCATCAAAGTTGTTACATAACTTGTAAATTTTAAAAAATGACAATAAAAGTATACTAAATGAAATTATAAATTCTTAAATCAATATAAAGAGATGTCCTCATAAAAATACTATGTTTAAGAATTGGACAGAAGTTCTCCACATATTAGACTTGAGAAGCATTTGGTTTTCAAAATTGAGCTATTTTTTCAGTCATGAAGAAAAGCTTTTACATCAACTCATCAAACCTACAATCAGTTTTTTATAGTTATTTATATTTCATATTGTCTTCTAGCAAACATCACAATGGGCTGCTACTTCAAAATGTGCCCAGATAAACTTGCCTTTAAGTGGCTAACCACTCTCATTTGGCTAGGGACTCACTAGCATCCTCTCCCAAACACATTAGTTTTCCTCAATATAGGACTGGAATTTGTTTTCAAACTCTTAACAGGATCATTGAAAGGAAACAGGAAGAATACTATAAAGGCAAGCCTGGAGTGATTCCAGAGGCAAGTACTCTTGCAGCAATGCATTGGAATTATGCCAAGGAGGGAAGTGTTTTTGCAAATGAACATAGTTCCATGGTTAAGTAGAAGGTATTTAATTCTTTTGTCAACATCACCAAGGCTAAAAATTAAGAAAGTTATGTCATAAGCAATTTACTTGACTTATAACAACGCACACATATTCTTTCGATTAAACCATAAGGCAGCATCTTGCCTCCTTTAACCGTGTATTTTTATTTTTAATTAAATGTTACTATAATATTAATACCTAATTTCAAGTATTCAAAAGCAGAATTAATGAAGATGACAGTGGAGTAATTTTATTTTATTTTTAAATACCTTGGTATAGTTTGCAGGTAACAATAATTTTGGTAGTAAAATGTTTCAATTCTTGCAATTAAATTTGATGAATGTAAGTAATTTTACAGTACCATGTTTGATGAGATGATTTTTCTCATTTGAAATAAATTGAGGTTTATTTTTCATGATAAATATATCTATTTACTGTGGTTTAAGACTGCTTTTCTTACTAAATTCTATAATTAGAAGCATAAAACTCAAACAGCTCCTGTTCACATTTTCTTATGAATAAATGTGGAAATCACATTTTCTTAACAAATAAATGAGTTAAATTATACAAAGTGAAACAACTGCCACAAAAACCCGTAATCTTCTTTAAAACCTTTAAAACACAGGGCCTTTAATGTTATTTCCTATCTTTTCTCAGATAAATTTAATTGTGTACTTTTATATGTATTTCTACTTCGTTATTTTTCCCATTTTAATTGTGTAAAAGTTTTAAGTTCCTTTTTCATATCAATCAAGTTCTGCATAATATTGAAACTGCTCCTTTCATAGCTAAAGTGCAATAATGTTCCTAAAATTTTTTGTAACAGTTACTGCTGAATCCACCATCACTTTCAAGTAACTGTTAACCTCCTGTCAACAGGAACGCTGCCTTTCATTGAATTGATTAGTTCACTGAGAATATTTCTCTACTTACCCAGTGGAATAGCATTTTGCCTACAAGCAGGGATAAATCTTCATCAGTTTCTGATTTCCACATATATGGAAACTGCAGGATTTTCTACTCAATTAGAAATACTGCCAGTGAGGGAAAGGGAAACAGGACAATAGGAGACAGGTTTGACTCCTTCAGGGACATAAAAGGAGACTGCTAAACTGGTCTATGGGACCTGAACCTATATCATCTCCATTTGTTTTGCTCAGAGTTCACTTCACAATGTCACCTCTGGTGAAGATGATAATTGAGTGCAGAGCCATAGGTACTTTACATGCTTAGCAGCCATCCACATGAAGTATTTAACTCTTTGAATAGGACAGAAAAAGGTATTTGCTCAGTTACTCCATTTGAAAAGTATATCCAATACAAACACAATGTGAGCCACAAATGCAATTTTAAAATTTCTAGCCACACTAAAAAAGAGTAAAAGAAACAGCTGAAATTTTAACATTATCCTCTATCTAGCCCAGTATACCTAAAATATGATTATTTCCACATGTAATCAACATTTAAAAATTGTTAAGGACATATGTTACTTTTTTTTCTTTTTTTTTTCTTGCAGTACAGCTTTGAAATCCAGTGTGTAACTTTTACTTACAGCACATCTCAATGTTTAATAGTCATTTTTCAAAACCTAAAGAGCCACACGTGGCTGCTGGGTTCAGTACTATATAGCACAGGTCTAAACTTTTTAAAAATTATTTAATTTTAAAAATATTCTACTAGAATGAGAATTTTATGGGGAAGTAATCCAATTTATATATGTATATGAGGCACCTAAACACTATGAGCCTTGAAACAGTATTTCCTAGGATTCTCCTTGCTTTGTGATTAAAACTAGGGCAATATCGTTGCCTAGGCTCTAAAGTCAGAATATCTCAAGTTTGAATTTAAGCTCAGACAAATATTACTAACGTAACTGCAAGCAAGCTATTTACTCTTGATATCCTCTATTTTTTTATTGTGTAAAACATAAATGATAATGATACCTACCTCATTAAATAAGCTTGTGTATGTAAAGGAAATGGAGGATGTCTGCACATACTAAGTTATCAAGAAAAATTAGTTATAATAGTTATTATTATCAGTAGTCTCCTTTAGCTCAACTAAGAATTCCAAGTATAAAACCTGTGCTTCTGGCTCTGGTGTAAAAATAAATATAGATATATGTGTTATTTTTAATGTATTATGTTTTATATAAGTTAAAAAGAGACACTAGTAACATAACTTTATAATTTATTTTCATGAAACCTAGAAACAGAATATCTATCAATCTTGAAGGTCCATATGACATAGTTTTAAATATTTAGCCACATAATGCTAGGAAAGAAAAAAAACGGTTTTATAAAACAAAGAAAAAAGTTTACTAATTCATACATGATTGTTTCAAAACATGCAATTGGTGTACTATAATAATTAAAACTTTACTTTGGCCCACTTTCACAAAAATGTGGTCATTTTGGTACTTAGTCCAAAAAAAAAAAAAAAAAACACACACCTTTCTCAGAAGTAACCACAGAGATTTTGTAAGTGAAATTTGAAAATTTTGTATTAAAGTTATAGTATTTATATAAGATAATTCTAAAAGTTTGTAAATATATTCGTTTATGCCCTGCCTGTCACTAGAGCTCTTATTCACAGCCCTCTTAACCTCCTATTTACTGCTACTCAAGGGCCCAGACAATATGGGTTTAAAAACAGGAGGAATGGCATCTCATTAAATCCTGTTAAATGTCACCTCAGTCTTGCCAGGCTATATGTCCAACTACCCAGACTCCTCTCTAAACTCCATAGCCCAACGTGCAACTATTGACTTCCATGTTAAGCATAGGACACATTAAATTTTAGTAACAAATTTCATTATCACCTATATTGATTACATACACTTAGTGCAGATGCTACTGTAGGGCAATCACTAAGTTCAACGGTGACTTTGTTTAAGATCTACTGAATTGCGCTTCTGGTACAGAGCAGATTCACGTATTCAAATAACTATTAAAGTTTAAAATGTCTGATACTGAAATTTAAAAAGGCAAAGTGGAGTTTTAATAGGACACATTACTTACGTTCACAAGTGTCTCCTTTTTGCTGGTAGCCTGCTTTGCAGATACATTTTCCAATGGGCACTAACCATTCTCCTTCTGCACTGCAGTGCATCCTGGGGGCGTTTTCCGCTTCTTCCTCTGCACTGCTGACACATGTCCCTCGAACCTCGACTAAAGAGGAAAATTCTGAACCAGTCACTGTATCTGGAAAGATAGCTAAGTTCTCAATAATGGACCAGCACTTCTTGTAGTACACTTTGACAGAAACCAAAGCTATGCAAGCCCCTACATCCTGAAAGGCAAGATAGAATCCCTTTTTGGACAAAGGTCCAATCTCTCTCACCTCAGTGTTAAGCTTCATCTTTCTTTCACCAAGGTCACCTTGGGTAAAACTTTCATCTGCAGCAATGGTGTCTATTTTTACATAGAGGTTTTCTCTTATATTCCTGCCAGTGTCATAGTCTGTTTCATAATAGTACAAATTAAATGTTTCCTTGCAAGTTCCCAGTACTCCAGGAAGACTGTTACAATCCCTCAGGGTGAATTTCAATTCTACAAAAATCCTTTGTGCATTGCCTTTGGAAATCCAGTTAGTCCGCAGCCAGTTGTTTTGGTTGGGCTCCATGACTTGGCACACCTGGTATGTTCGTATCGGGGTATAGTTCTCATCCAAACCACTAATTTCTTCCCACTGTAAAATTTGAAAAAAGGTCATCAGTCATTCAGCAAAAAATAACATTTTGCTTTTGAAAGTGCAAGTACTTCACAAATACAGATCTTCGAAAAAGTTAGGTTGATTCCTATGCTGGCAAAACTATAAACCAGAGAATGTAAGATTCCAGGTTCTGCTTCATCCTGGTGGTGGAACATACTTATGCTGCTTGCTTTGTGTATACATACAATAAATATTTCATTTTGTTTAATATCTTTCTGTGAGTATATTAGTGTTTCTTTTTTACATGTTTGCTTATGTTTATGTTCTCCATTGAGATTATAATTTTTATAGACTAAAGCTCACAATTATTTAAATTATCAGTGAAAGTATATACATATGGATGCCTGGCAGAATTTTTGATAACTCAGTTGACATTTTAAGTGGCCATATCATACTTACGATTACAGAGTACTTAAAAACATGAAGAAGAAAATGCCCACGGTATTCTGAATAAACCATTCAACAACCTGTTGATATTTATAATTTGGAATATTTTACAATCGTTTCAAAATGAGATATAAGGAAGTAACATTTTACAGAGCTATTTATTTATTCCAGTGTTATATATAATATCACATACAAAGCCACATAACTATAAATAAGTAGTTATAAGAGTATGATTCATTTTTATAAATAAATTGCTTTCAATAGACAATCAAATGTACATGGCAAATCTGCATGCTGGATCATATTTAGTATAAACCTTCTGACAGGAAAAATATCAGATGTTTAAAAATGTCCATTTATATGTTGATATAATGTACATTACAAACAAATCTATATTAAATATTTTCTCAAAAAAGGAAAAAAAGTGCATTTGTCAGAATTTGCAACAATTTCAAACTATTAAACCATATATAATATTCTGTCGCTCATTAATCAATAAAATCATTTCACCTAGGAATCTTAAAAGCCTAAATGAATGGTTTGTTTTCTTCGTACAATTATTAATAATTTTCCCACTTTGTATTTATGATGTCTTAATAATGAAATTGTCATGTTAATATTAATTTCCCCAATAAAAAATTCAAATACAAAACATTTGTGTTCAAGTCCAAAGTTGCATAGCATGCAATATTTTAACTATTGTTTCAAGAAAAGATGAGAAAATAAAAATCATGGGTAAATACTTTTATTTTAAATACTTGATTTGAGTATTGATTTATTTAAATGTTCTGTACAATATTAATGTATACTTTTAAAACCAGTCCTTAGAAAATTAACAAGACTGACAAATTAGCAATATAATACAATTCAGAAATTTCTTTGATGATGTTATATATTTGGTGTGATTTTGTTATACACAGTCTAATACCATCAAAGGTACTCAAATGTAGTAAAGAACCCATTTTAATGTTCAGCTTTTACTCAGTTCAACTTGCATTTGTGACTAGTTAACAGTGTGCCTAGCTTCCCTTTGTTTCAGTTAGCTGCCTACAATCTGAATGGCAATCAGCCAAACATAACCAAATTCATCCATTTGGATGGCTAGATTTCAGTCTCTTAATTAGATTGAAATTGCTGAAAGAAGTAAAACTAGTAATGATATCTACCAAAAAATCAAAAGCTCCAAAGATAAATGTGCTCCTTTTTAACAACTCTGCAGTTTGAAGAAACCAAAGCTAATTATTTTAAAAGAATATAGCCTAAGAATTCCTTTATCTAACTTCGAGAACAAATTTATTCATTTATTCTGTATAAGAAAAATCAATTTTACTACCCTTGAAACCCAATTAATTTTTATTTTTATTTAAAATTTTATTCCAGAGGGGAATGCTTCAGGAAAACTATGATGTAGACTACAAACATTGAGACTACATAAATTCATTTAACACAACTGTTGTTTTATTATCTCACTTTCTAAGACATTATGAACATTTCCACAAATGACGCCATTGGGAAAAATGTCTTCATTCAGACACTGCATTTTTATAGTACGTTTATAGAAATATTTTCTCAAAACTTATATCTCAAGAACATTTTTTTTAGTTAGGTATTTAGTCACATGCAAACTAACCTATTGCACAGATATAGAAAATATTGTCCATCATTGTTTTCTAATATTATGTGTTGATGTTTACAGACATGTAGGGTTAACTGTTAAGATACTTTGGACTGATAAAATGCCCATTTGAGTCCAAGATAACATTGACAGTCATAATTTGTCATTTTGTGTATTACATGGATGAAATACTACAATCATATATCAGTTTACTTCTCCTCAGAGATAAAACCATCCTCTATCTCTATTTGTTTTAATTGATGGATGGTAGAAAATGGGCTACATCTGTCATTGGCAAGAAAGGTGTTTCATTTTTTATCATGAATGGCTGTCTATAATGTATATTATTTTACTTACAGAAACCACTTATCTCAAGAAAGGTGTTATATTCATACCTCCAACTCATGGAATTTTTATATTTAATCTGTAAAATGGTTGTCATTGATTTATAATTTATCATAACCAATACAGATAACCACAATATGAATGAAAGGAATCTTAAAAATTAAATTTAATGAAAACTCTAAATATCTTAAACAGATTTGTTTTGTTCATATTTTACATTCTTAAACTTTCAGTTCCTGACATGCTGATTTTATGATCTCAACAATCTCTTTCAAACTTTCATTCTTCTCTTTGCAAAATATGCTACAGTTTTTGTATCATAACTTACACTCCACACGGTTTTTAATAAGCCAAAGATAAACACAAATAGCAATAGGGTATCTTCTCCTTTCTCAAAGCCCTCTTACTTGATAAGGAATAAAGAATGTGCCCTCTCTCACAATTAAAAATAAGATCTGAAGACACGGATACTGAGCTACATTTACATATGAAAAATAATGGTTAGTATTTTTAAAGATTTACTAATATTTTGGTAGGTTATTACTGGACAATTTTCACTCATATCTATTGCAGATTTTTATTGTAATATGTGCAGGCTTTGCCATCATTTCTGATTAATAACAGCGGATAGCACATAATATAAATTTGGAGAATCTATATAATATTTTATAGTAAATTGTATACCAAAATGTTGAACATAGTACATTTTTAGTTATATTTTAAAGTACATTTTGAATGATGCTGAAACTTTTAAAAATAGGAAAACAGATTGATTACATACTGATTTAAAGAATTATATACCACTGACATGGTGATTATACTAGAAATATAAAGCAACTAAAGAGGTTTAAGTGAGTTTGTGAAAGGAATGTTCCCTGTAATTAGTTAGCATTTACAGCCTGGACCCTGAGGTATGATTCCACACAATAAGAACTCAAAAGACTATGGCTATGAGGTTTTTTTTCCATTTCCCCAAGTTCTAAGTATACCCTCTCTAATCAGGGAACTCAATGTCTCATTATAAATGCAACATAATATTGGACAAGATATTTGGAATTAAACAGTTTATACATGAAGAGTGTGAATAATTACCCTGGAGGGAAGGGAAACGTTTTGTTTCTTATTTTAAAAAAGTGATATTTTATGATGAAAAAAACTTACCCCATTGGGTGGAGAGGAAATCCACTCCAACTCTGTTTGTTGTGCTTTAGAATCCAGCAGTAGTACTGAAAAAGAAAGTTGTATTTCCATATGTTACATGAAACACTTACGCACACATGTAGACATTTTTAAGGTGAATCTTTTCATATAACTATCACTATATGACTTAAGATCTGTAGTTATTTATGTAAATCAATGGTGAAATGAACACCCTCCTGATACATGTATATTCCACTTCCTTAAAGGAAAAAAGATATTAAGACACCAATATTATATTTGGTATGCTTTAATTACAATATTAAATCTTAAAATGCAATATTAGAATGAGGGTAGAAATTTTATATGTGATACATTAATTCCACAGTAATTATATATTACGGTTTTGTAAACCATTGAGCTGTTCAAATTTGTCAAATACAATAACATGAACATAATAAGGTATAATTCCTATATTACTCTTGATCCAGTCATTAATTTGTAACATTCTGCCAGCAGTATTTTCTATTGTCTTTTGAGAATTGGAGTTTATCTTTTAAAAAATCTTTCCACATACAGTGTCGTTAAGCTAAAATGAATACAGAAATGTTAAAAACTGTTAAGCAATGTTATCAGAAAACCAAATTGCCTATTATTTGCAAGATTTTATTCAGGTTAGTCAAGCATCAGTTTTTTCAGCATTTTTTTTAATTTCTTAATTTTCAAAGTGATAGATAATTCTCAAAATGGTATCAACTCTGACTTCTAATCACTTGTATTTCACTTTTATGCTATCAAAAAGCATAATGCGATTAATTTAAAATGTATATAAAGTGTTATAAATGCTCCTGATACTATCAGTATGAGAATGCATTAGAATGTTATATATTAATACACATAATATTTCTATTTGATATATTTTATTTCTTTTTTGGACAATTACTCTTCTAAAGCACTCACTCTTTTGGTCAAACTGGTTTCAGAGTTACATAAGTTTTTGCACTTTAAAAATATTTATCTGACTCTACACCATTTTGACAAATGCATCAATTTGTCCAGAAATAATAGTGAATAAATTTTAAGTATGTCAATAGGCTTAACATCAGCCTCAGAAAAATGTTAAAATTTTTACTTAAAATACATGCTTATATGAACTTTTAATAATTATACAACTCAATCACTAGGGATAAAATATGTATTTGAAAGACAAAAATGTGTTATGATAAGAAAACAAAGGAACAACTGATTATCTGTTTAAAGGAACAGTTGATTATGTGTTTAATTCCTTCACACTAGTCAAAGTTACTCACTGTAAATGAAAATAGATATAGAGACCCAGGATTTTTGTTTTGTTGTTGTTGTTGTTTCTTTGTTTAGTGTTTTACACTTAAGACTCTCAGGGAGACTGACAGGAAAAAAAAAAACTTGATCAGAAACATTTGACTCCCTTTCAAATGAGAAACACACCCACAACACTTTCAAAATGCCAATTTGAATTTCAACTTGTAACATCGATAAATCGTTGGACTAGCGAATTTATATAAAAAGTAATTTTTAAAGTTTATTTTTATCCTCAACAACAGACATGAAGCACAGGGAAACAAGGTGGGTGGTCAGGTACTCTACTCTTTTTGAGATGCTTTCTTAATTTTTATTTTATTTTTCTTGTGTGCTGAATATAGACAACAGGATTTTAAATGCAGGTGACCTTCTTGGGTCATTTCTGAGAGTGAAATAAACATTGCGAGATTACTGTTTATTGCCATTCTGCTACCCCTCAGCTCAGCCTGGGGGTGGAAGCAAGGGACCTAAGCAGACAGCAGTGATGGCCAAGTTAAGAGAGAAACAAACTAACAAATTAAAACAAAACAGAACCCGGCCCGAGAACGTTTAATCGGAAGCCGCTCTCAAGTGATCCGTGCGTCTCTCTTCTGCTCGGTCCGCTCTCTGGTTAAACCCTCAAAAGAGCGCGTATCCCTTCCCGCTCGGAGCAGAGTGCCGACCTCCCTTTGCGCCCGCGGAGGCGCAGTCCCTCGGCTCACCCGGACGCTGGGGGCCAGGCCTAGGACTCCAGGGCTCCGCGCCCCGGAGTCCTGTGGGCCAACAGGTGATGGGAGAGGGGCTAGACTGGGGGCGCGCCCTGACAGACCCAGGCAACGACCGCGCGGGCAAAGGCTGGCGTCCCGGGGCTGGGGCGGGGCCGTCGGAGGGGCGGGGCGGGGGCTGCCAGACGGGCGCGCCAGCCGCGCCAAGCATCCATTACGCCTCTGCCAGACCTGGGCACTCCAGGGAGCCGGTGGCGCCCTCGCTCGAGAAGGAGTCGGGAAGAGGAGAGTGGCTTTCGGGAAGAGGAGAGTGGCTTTCGGGAAGCATCTCCTCTGAGGAAGAGGCGGCGGCGGCGGCGGCATTTACGGAGAGAAAAAGTAAGCAGCTGCACTTTGCCTTCAAGCGTCAGACTCTGACACGCGCTCCCTGTAGCGATGATAACTGACCAACCCGAGAGAACGTGCACAAGGAAAGTGAGGGAAGGGGGTTTCTTATCTTCCTCTAGCCACCCCCAAATGCCCCAGGAGGCCCGGCACCTGCTTCAAGCGGTTCCCAGCGCTAGCCCTTGGGTACTGCGGGCCGCCTCGGGGCTTGTGAACTCCTAGAACGCCAGCTCTTGGTCGCCGCTGCGCCCTAGAGGCGTCGCCGCCTAGAAGCCGGGCGCACTCGCCGCCCGCCAGCCACAGATCACCACCCTCCCTCCCATCACCCCCGCGCCTTTTATACATCACACTTCTGCATCTAAAGAATTCAGGCTCTTAGAATCAGAATCCTCTTCACGTAGCTTGCACCCAGAAGAGCAAAGAGAACTAGACATTCTGGCTGCAGGAACCTCTCCCCCTAGTGATGCAGTTATTTATAGCCCAAACTCCAGCCCGAGTCTGCGTGTGTTCGCGCGCGGGGTTTCGCCGCGGCGGTGCAAACTTTTCCTCTGGTCCGCTATTCCAGAGGAATCACAGTATGCCAGGGCTGAAGGTTTCTGATCGCTAACGTCAGGGGAGTAGAAATGTGGTTTTGGAGGGGATGAGCGTGCGTTTCTAGCAGATGTCCGTCCTTCTGCAAACGCGTAACCGCCAGCTTGGAGGCACGGGGTTCTCTGAATGGGTTCAGCATCTATACAGGTTGCAGATGTGGAAAGTGGGGTCAGAAGGTCAGGCTGAAAGAAGGACTAGAATTTGGCGCCGGGTTTGAGGGGGGCTTGAGCGAACTAAGAGGAGTGCACGATGAGAATAAAGAAAAGGTGCACTAAGTTTTCAGAAATAGATGAATCAAGGACCTATATGTAAGTCCCCTCAACACCCCGCCCGATAACCACCATGACCTAAATTTCATAACAGATTCCTCTCCCTCTACACATCAGGAATAAGTAATTATTTCTCTTCTGCTTTTAACAGATCGAAAAATGAAACTTAGATACACAGCCTGAAAGACCAGGGGGGCGACGGGATGAGGGGGGTTGGGGATGGGATTGTGACACTGCTCAAAAGCAAGAGACTTCCATTGACAGGGTTTATTTTTCCCCAGCTCCAACTACAGGCACCGAAAGGTATTTTACCTTCTGTCAAAGGTTCAAAGAAGGAAAACATAACCATATACAGGCGTATCTGTAACAGCTTGCCAAATAAAACCTGCCTTCTCCTACCAGAACCAACCCTCAGGGTTCAGGTCTTTGGCAAGGATTGGGCACTCGGATTCCTCAATTGCTGCACTATGGGGCAAATAATTGGGGACTTTGAGTCGCCCAGGCGGCATCCTTACAAATTGCACAGCTCCAGCCCGCCCCCTGCCTCCACGGCCCGACCAAGCCCGCTGGGCTGCCGCTGCCCCCATGACCGCTGGGCCCGACGCGCAGCGCGCGCTGAATGGAGACATCCCCGGCCCTCGGGTCGCGCGCCGCACGCCGCGCTTCACCTCCGCGGCGTTATTGTTCCGTGCTGGCGGCCGAGCGCCAACCGCAGGACCGCGCCGCCGCCTCCGACGCAGTGAGCACTTCATTAGTAACCCGAGCTTTCCGAGCTCATCGAAGTCTCGGTCCCTCTGGGAAGGCTCCGGGCTCCCGCCACTCGCCGGCGGGCTGGCGGAGACGGTAGGGGCTGCATTTCCCAGTCTCCAACCCAACTCTGGCCGCAGCTCCCACAGAAGGCGAATAAGGAGACAAGGAAGACCGAGCTAGAGAGAGATGTGACCCGCCTGAGGTACTAAGAAATAAGCTCGCCGGCAGTTCCTCCAACCCCACCCCACCCCCGTTGCTGCTCACGCCCTCCAGACTGCCCGCGCCAGAAATCCCGCACCCGTCGGATGGACGGCTCCGGGCACAGGGCTGTAGGCGGCTCGGAACAGCCCTGGTTCGCGCTCGCTGGTCCGCCAGGAGCGGCCTCAGCGGTGAGGGGGCGGGGAGCCGGCGGGGGAGGGTCGCCCGGCGCCGGAGGCGCGGCCGGCAGCGCCGCGGACGAGCTGGCTTGTGCAGGTAGACATCTAAATAAATAAGTCAGAACAAACTTTGCTTTCCCATCACCTTACCTTCCTTCGCAGCCTGCGCCTCCCCTGTGTGTGCAAAGCGGAGCAGCCAGATGTAGCATAAAATAATCCATGAAGGGTACCGAGTTTGAAAAACCATGGTGCATGAGCAGGTTTTATTTTAGGTTTCAGTTATCTTGAGTCGTGGATTTTTAAATGCTGTTTGTTCCGAAGTAGCTTTTGTTTTATTGTGCTCCTTGCATCGATTCCCCTTCTCGGTCCCCGATCGGCTGCTCCACGTTTAGCTTTTTTTAATTTCCCCCCCACTCCTGTTCGCTCGCACCGTGTTTGCTGCCTGCAAGTCTCCGACTGCAGACCGGCCGCTTGCTCCACACTCCAATAATATCAATTAGGGGGGGAGGGGGCGGGGCTCCGAGCTGAGAGCCTCCGCCACTCGGGCTGAGTGGCAGGCACAGCCGGCCTGCCAGGAGGCGATTCCCAGGGCCAAGGGGCGGGTCCCGGCGAAATGGCCGCCCCGGCCACGGGGGCGGGGTCCGAGGCAGGAGCCAATCGGTGCCGAGCGGAGTCAGGTTGCTGGTCCAGGATTCCCTCCAGGTTCTGAGCTCGCGCTGGATGTTCAGAGGAGAACGAGGATGGTAGCCGAGGTGTGTGCTGCTTTGGACGCTCTGCTTTTAGCAACCGCAGCTTTCGCGTAGCAGAATAAATCCGAGAATAACGCTCCCAACTTACACTCTTTTCTATAGCTGTACTCCGCGCGATCTTTTAGAAACCAGAGGCGAAGCAAGCCTTCTCTCAGCTACCAAGCACGGAGCCCGGACAGTGAAATGAGCTGTGCCTTTAAGTAAAGTGTGTTTTACTTTTTTGTTGTTAGAACCTCCGCGGGCTGGGTAACTTTGTTTTTTGCCTTTTTGAAAAGTTTCTACTTCTCTTTTTCTGTTACTCCAAGAGCCGTCAGTTTTAGGTACCACCCACCACAATCCCTGAAAGAATAAAGTAACCAAGTGTATTATGTTTAAACAATGTTTCCAAGAGTTTGCAACAAGCTCTGGCAAAAGAAACAGAGGAAAAGGGAGTGGGAAAGGAAGTCTTTTGTTTTAAGCGCCCCTTCTCCTCCGCCCTGTCTTTTCACCATAGTTTGTTGAGCGAAGTGAGACATTAGGAGAGAACCTTCTGATGGTTGCGTATCGTTTTTTTACGCGTTTATCATTTTCTAAGGTTTTCCTTGGATTGCCTCCACTTTGATAGTTTTCCATTTCGCTGCATAAATTACACTGAATTTTAAAGAATGCCACTACGTATTAAATTCATAAAGCAAGACCTTTCTCTTCGCAAGTATTTACCATTTTCAGGAATTATTCAATGCTTATCTTTCAAAGAGAAACTAAGAATAAAAAAAGTCATAACCAATATCTCCAGTTGAATTCATTCAACCCGAACGGCAAGGAAGGCTGCGTAGAGAAATCTGTTTTCCATTAGGCAGTTTCGGACACTTTGTATTCAAGAGGTAGGTAATAAGAGGAAGAACTTTAAAATTTTAATTGCCAAATCTTCAATTTCAAAGGTCACACAGAGTAACTTGATCACATGTTTAAGATGAATTTCTTTTTTTGTCCTATAATTTCTTCCTTTAAAAATATTTCTCAGTCATTTATGATTTCCTTTTATTTCCGATAGATCCAAAGTTTGATCTCACATAAGGCTCCAAACTTTTTCCAACCTTTCTATCTGGAAATATAAAGTAAATTGAGTTGTTTCTGCTTTTTATAGTAGGGAGTTCTCTAAGATGACAACCCCCAGATATTTATTTGTATTTTATGTTAAATTGTCTCCTGTAGTTTTTATTTGCCTAATAAAATAACATGGAAGAGAGATATGAAATTTATTCTTTAAACCTCTTTGATTCTGTAGTTTCTGAAACATTTCTTCAATGTTACATATTCCTAGCCATTATGCCTATTTAATATTTTAGAAAGTGTATCAAAAAGCATCTTCAGTGTCCCTTAAAGGATGCATAGAAAATGTAAATGCGTAATAGATTAACCTTAGAAAGAGACAAAAAAAAATATGGGGAGAACACACTTGTTATAGAGGAGATGAAGCTTTATTTACACAAATAGATGATTTAAGGATGAAACTTGTAAACTAAAACATAAGAGTTAAAAACATAAATCCCTGCACTTAGTCTTTAGAACTCACAGAACTACAAACTTACAAATATTAAACCACTTCTAATAGTTAAAACGAATTCTCCAGGATTTCAACACTTTCCCCAGGGTCTCATCCCCACTTCTTAAAATGACACCAAGGTGGCCTTTAAAGTTTAAAATATTCCTTTCATCTATTGAATGACTAATACTCAATGATGTGAATACAAATACTTTTCCATTAAAACCAGGAAACCAAAGAAGTAACATCCTTCACTCCTCTGATGAGTGTAGGTGGTATAGTGAGTCCTCTTTTTGTGTCCCTTCTCTCTGTCAGACACAGGGGCATGTGTAACTTTACTCTTATTTTTAGAGACAAGAAGCTTCACATTAAATGCACATGTGCCAGGCTGCTGACAGTTCTCCCTGCATAGCTGCACAGTGATACTGATTTTTAGGTTTTTCAAACTTCTCTTCTTTCTTTTGTAGTATCTAGATATATTGACAAAGAATTCGGAGCATTTAAATAAAAATAAATGACAGTCAAGAAGACAGTGTTCAGCATACAGTATATGATTAATATATAAATTTACACTCGACTGTATTTGACTAATGATAAAGCATATAGACCTATTTGTACATGAAGCCACTGACATAAAAATTATCAGTATACAAAACTTTCTCATTTTAAAATAACATAATGGTGAACTTCCTCACACCATTACAATTTATTTTAGCTTCATTTTATGATTTAAGCATATTATTTCTAATCAATTATTTTTAATAATGCGATGTGTTTGTATATAAAGTGAATTCAAAAGGAACTTGTCTTCCTGAGCAATACCAAATAGTGTATGAGACCAACACCTGTGCGCCAAAGCAATAATTCTGAAAACTAGTTTTACATTTTTATGCATTCATTGTACAACTAAGTTGATAGCGTCGTCCACATATATTTAGTGAATTTTAAGTAAATGGAAACAGAGACTAAGACCTTAATATTTCAATTTTATATCCCCTCTGTTGCAACATCTATAATAAATGTATAGTGGAAAGATGAAAAACGCCTCTCTTCAGATACTAAGGAGATATACCCAATTTTAATGCATTTTGTATTATTTATTTGTATAATTACCAATAATCACATGACTGTACATGTAGGGAAATGTCCAAATTCAAGACACATTCTAAATGAGGGTACACCTGCTATTTTGTTTTAACTTGTTACAATACTAATATTTACCTCACTGTTTAACTCTGGGAAATATTCTCTGATTTTAAGAGAGAAATAGGAGTAAATTATAATGACTTCAGGGAATAAGTTCTATGAATTTTCAAATGAAAGAAAAGGTTATACTGTGTGTGTCTAGTATTCAGGCCATTCGAGGGCAAAGGGACAATTGGAGATTTCAGTATGTTACAAATCCAAGACTGTCAAACTAAATAGTTAACAACAATGAAATCAAAGGGCTGTTTCTGAACCCACTACTTTTGTACTTATCATCAAAATGCATTCACAGCTGGCAAATGTGAAAATGCAAGTTCATCACAGAAAAAGGGTAATTTAAACTGAATTAGAAAAGGTACTGTGCAGAAGAAATTGATTATAAGCAGAAAAGAAGCATTATGTCTTAGTTAACAGATATTACAGAAAATTGGATTCTGTGATTTCAGTCAAAATATAAACAATCTTTCCACTGTGTAGGAAAATCATTTACATATTTACATTAACATGATTTATGTAGTGTATATAAAATATTTATTTGCAGTCTAATGTAAAAAATGTGCATAACCTAAACTCATTAAAAACATATTAATTCATGAATTTTTCTAAGCTCAGATTTAGCTGAAAGTATAGGAAGTCAGAGGTCAGAAATCAAACCATAAGTCAAGAATTTATTTTGTGCCTTTGTAAAATTTCACACACTTTTGTGAAGTCAGATAAATAAAGTTCAGAAGATTACAATTATAATTCTTTAAGTACAATTTCCAAGTTAATTTCAGACAGTTTAACAAATAAAAATATAATTTATATCTAAATTATGAGTCCACTTGAATATTATTGCTGAGGTACCACTGAAATTTTCTAATCACCTAAAATATTAAAAAGTGTTCAGTCAAATTACTCTTTTTTTAAGTAATATTAAAATAACAAAATGTAGCTAGGAAAATGTAGCACTTTATACCTGAAATCAAGTAGCACATGTTCGGTGCTCTTAGTGGATTTTTTTTTTTTCAAACTTGATTTTGCATGGGGAGGCTCTTTTCTTCCATTACTTCCAGTTCATTTTGCCATAAATCACCAGGATTGATAGGATGAACTGGCTTAAATTATTCAAATTACTTCTACATGCTTCCATGGTTTCTCATGTTGTAATTTTTAAGCTCTTCACCCAGAGGATTTTTAGGTATCAAGATCTGTGATAATTCAGCGACCACCAGGGGGCAACAGGACCTCTGGGTGTCCTGGACAATCAAGTCCACCCTGTACAAGGTAAAGATGAGTTAGTTGTGAAATTGTATGTGTGTGTATTTGTGCATGTATATATACATATATATTATGAATATATAATATTTGTCTCATTGATTACTTTTAAGTTTCTTTTTCTCTCGGTACCTATGCCAGGCTACAAAATGCCTTCATAAAAATTTGTGAGATGTCCTATGACCTATTTTAGTCCATAGAGGCCAAGTTAAATGAATAGGCTCAAAGGCACATTAGAAGGTGAATTATACTATGGAAAAGCTTGCTCCAGTTTTTGTTTTTGTTTTTTTAACTAACCCGAAGAATTTTGAGTTTCCAGAGTGACCTCAGATACTCTCTTCCTTAGTCTGTTCCCACTTATCTTAGTCTTTTACCCAAAGAACAGGGCCAGGCTGGGATGGAGCATGCTCTGGGACTTAACAGTCCAGAGTTTTTAAGGATCCTCTGAAGTTCCCAGAGAACTTTCTAGGCTGAGGAGTATTTTAGACACCACACCTCATCCTAATCTTCTGCCGTGGTTAATACTAAAAATGAAATTCTGTCAAAACTTGCCTGACTAATCTCAAAAAGGTCTAAGAAGAGGTCTAAAAAATAATGAGTTTCTATGTATGGTAATAATTTGGAATTTCTGTTTTAGAGAAAGAAATGCGGGAGTAGTGCCCCCTAGTTGTGAAATTGTAAAGCTGTGGACATTCTCTCCATGGAGGAAGGGTAAAATTCTATACATACCAGAGGTGATGTCTTATAATACCTCTAGACTTGGCATGCAGTTGTTCTCTTTGAAGAAAAGACAAATTTATATAAGAGACAAGGACTTTCCTGGGAGGAGAGGATCCCAAACCTATCCCATTTGAGTTTTAACAGTATTAGAAGCTCTGAAAGATAAGAATGGTTCTGACTGAGAAAGAAATGAGCCCAAGTATCACAAAGAAGTGCTTACTGTAAGGGAAATACAATTGAGCTTAAAATTTACTGGGTGAAGACATTTGCTGATATTCAAAGGCCTTGGAACCCAGCAACCTAGCTATGGTATTTATGCTGATTATGCAAGTATGAACTAAAAGAGCTGTACCATTTTAGCTCAAAGGTGAAGTGACATTATAGCATGGAGGGATCTATATAACAAGGTATCATTGTAGTAATACTAAGTACAGCCAATTTTTAAAAGATATATGATATGACAGTGATGTAACTAAAGTCAGTAGTGCACTGAACATTATAATCATCTGGACAAAATATGATCCCTTTCGACTGAGTGTATGCCTAGAGATTCTCAGGAGGAATTAAGGAGAGCAGAAGCCCTCAAAAGAGAGATGCTAGATTTGACCATTTCGACAAGCAAACTTAAAAAAGATAAGTGACTGTATTTCTTCTTGATAATGTGGATCAAACTGATTAAAGATTCACAATCTGTCATAAGATTCCAGAGAGAGAATGGTGACCAAAACCTCTATCAAAAGTAGGCTTTTCATGTATTTATTAAATACAAAAAGGCACTAGGGACATACGCAGATGAATAAATCATAACCCAATACACAAAAGACCTAACACCCATCATGATGCCTTTGTGACTCATGTTTCTTTTTGAAAACAGGGAGAATATCATATACTTAGAGAAATAGGTAACCATTCAGTTTTTCTGTGTTGATTTCAACAGTGATGATATCTTTATAATTGCACTATTGACCATAAACTGCAAGAAAATTCAATGCACAGTAAGGATTTTTATCATCTGACTTGTCTAAAGTTGTTTTCTTTTCCCCTCCCTGCACTCATATCAGACAGAAAATTTCATAAAAATTTTACATCATCTCAGATTCTATGAGCTTATTATTATCATTGTTTGGTTTCATAGGCTCATTGCTGTAGATAAGCTACAGAATTAACCTGCCACATTCTCTATTTGATTTTAGATTGATGAAATGACTGAGGTCAATCTCAGTTTAATTAAGTATTTTAATATCTGATAGTCACTCTTTCAGCAAGCTTTTAACAAGCAGGCTTTGGTTGCAAAGTCTGTGAAACTTAAAAACATGAAAATTCTGGCAGAAATTTCCTTCATTTAAAGATAGATGATAACCATAAAAGACAAAACCTACTTTATCTACCTCACAAGTACAGAGAAAAGAGAAATTATCCTGCATTTCAATAAGAAGTACAAGATCTCTTATGAGAGTTCTTTAAGATCTCAACTTGAAATTAATTTTTCTATACTATCATATCTTTGTCTTTATTTTAACAAATTATAATATATTTGCATATACCTTTGATTTAAACTTTTGAGGGAACAATTACTTTCTAAGTTTTAATAAAGAAATGCAGTACAATAATTACATGCATATTCTTAGGTACTTTTGAGAAAGTCCAGTGGATTATCACGTTTTAGATAAATGGTAGTTGTGTCCATTTTAGAGAATTGGCAGCTCTGGCCCAATCAGTTATACTTGGTCAGAAGGCTATAAAACAGGGAGCGGAATGATACTGAATGAAAAGGAAAGGAAAGTAGTAACACATTAGAGTCCATGTTAGAGTTCTACCTAGTCAAATATCTTAAAATATGATGAATATTTAAAAACAAATGCCCTACACTTAGCCATTTTAATTTTTAATCAAGGTTAAGACTTAAATAGATAAATTTTTTGATCAGAGAATGAAAGTATGAATTTTATATAAATTGTACTGCTAGAGCTATATTATAAATATATCTTTAAAGTTATAGTTAAAACTTGACTAAGATAGTGTATTCTGTGTACCATTGTACGAAATGTGTAATTTTGCAGTTTTATGCTTTATAGATTAATCCGAAATGTATTCTCTAGTAATACTTGTAATTCAAAATGTAAAATTTTCAAGGCTTACCATTATAAGGCATTTATCTCAATGCTAAAGTAAATAGTTAAAATGTATTTCTCTAATGGTGTCTGATTCATCATAAACATAGATCCAGAAATATTTACCTATTCAAATACACATATCTATCATTTCCAAGGTCTATGTGATGCATAGATTTTACATATTTCTCTACACCCAGTAGAAGCCATCTTAGTCTCTATGCAAACTAAGCCTAGCCTTAGGAAGACAACATTCAAAGATCACGAATTAAATATTCAGAGGACCATTGTTTCATTTTTGAATTAAAGTCTATGTCTGTTTTTCTAAAATTGGTATTCAAATCTCTTAAGAACTACAGTGTGTATTCCATAGGTTAACTTTTTGCTTCCCCATCCCTCTAATGGGATCCTTGTCCAGAACCTGGCCTTATGCCTTAGGCCTTGTTAGTTACTGATACATTGTCTTGATGTGGACAACTGCCATCTGCCTGGATGTGAACTGCTCGTCAATGCCTGACTTTTCCTGCCACCTTTTAGACAACTACTACTATGTTTTTCTGAATCTGTCTGATGTCAACCATTTGCAGATAGTACCAGTCTTCCTGTCAAAATATTTATTGGACAATATACAACCTGCCTTTCTAGGCTACTTCCATCACCTACAGATCCAAGCATTTCCCTTAGCAAACCTAGGTACATCTTATTGCGGCCCTGACCCGTTTCATTTTATCCCATTCTGCAACATTTAGCCTGAAATATGTTTTCTGCTGCATAATGAGACACTGAAGAATTCATTCAGATTTTGGGGCATCATGTTGTAGTTACCATATTGTATTTGAAAAATGACTGGTTTTATAGTTAATTGTTCTTTTCTTTTTCCATTCTTTGCTTCTTCCCTCTTTTATTCTTTATTTCCCTTCACTCATCACACTTTAGAAATACATTCTGCTCTCCAGGTTTTGGCTAGGTACTGGCATGCAAAAATGACTAGGAAATGTTCTCCATTGTGGTCCTCAAGAAATACTTATTTTAGTATATGGCAGAAATACACAATTAACGGATACTGCCTTTTAATTGAGATAGGTAGATATCTGATAGATATATTCAGAGCAATAAATCAGACTGGAGAGCATCCTGTTAGGGACTGGCATTGTAGATTGACCTTGAGTTGCCAATAATAGGTGGTCCGCCAAGGGGAATAGGGGAAAGGAAATTTCAGGGAGCAAGATAATATGTAAAGGGCACAGTGGGGAGTATAAAAGTTACACTTTATTGATGAAACAGACACTACCCTAGGCATTTTAAGCTGAATAAATTTAATTTGGAAAATTAGCTGCTCACAAAATTTTTGAACATTATTGTACTAGTTATACATAACTGCATAACAAATTAGCCCAAAACTCAGAGGCTTAAAAAAACCAATATTTATTATCTCATAGTTTTTGTGTGTCAGGAATCCAATCAACTTAGCTGAGTCCTCTGTCTCAGGGTCTTCCACAAAGTCACAATTGAGATGTCAGTCTGCACCGTGATAATCTCAAAGCTGAAGGGGAGGATTTGTTTCCTAAAACACAAGTGACTGTTGTTAGGTGTCAGAAGACCCACTTCCAAGATCACTCAGCATGACAGTGGCAACCTCATTTTTCATTGTCTGCAAACCGAATGTCAGTTCCTTGCCACACAGACCTCTTCATAGGGTTACTCACAACATACACTTTGTTTACATCCAGAGCCAGGACCACAAGGAAAAAAGAGTCAGCAAGGCACAAGAAAGATAAACGTCACCATCTTTTTGTAAGTTAATCTCAGAAGTGATACCTATACTTTTCTGCCCATTGCAAGGCAGTCACTAGGTCCCGTCCACACTCAAGAGGAGAATGATACACAAGGACTTGAGTACTGGGATTCAGGATCATTGGGGTCATCTTAGGGGCTGTCACCCATGAGTCTGAAGAAACAGGCTTTAGACTGGTCCTCCAAGAATGATCACCAGATCCGTGCAGAACTCTTCAACACTGACACTTCTGCACTTAAAACCACCTGTGGAGCGGGTTTCGGAATGCATCTCTGGAGCAGCGATTCTGGAATCAGGAAGCTGAAAACAAGAACCCTTACTCCCTCAGCTATCATTGCTGCCACTGTTCTCACCAAGCAAGAAGCTGAAGAAAAGTCAGTGGAAGACTGCTGCCAAAAACACAAGACATTTTCATGGTCTTTCCTGCCAGAATATAAAGCCAAAAGAAAGGTGGTAGCTGTGGCTTAACTTTCAACTTCCAAGTCTTAGATGATTTCAAGACTTTGAACAACAAAGTCCATTAATATTTCTCAATGATAAGAGGCACCATTATCATTTAGAATTAAAAAAAAATTTTATTGAAGAGTAATGCATACAAGGAAAACGTACTTATTATTAAGTATACAGCTTGATTGATTTTTATAAAGTGAGTACACTTGCGTAACCAGTAGTGGAATTTTGAAACAGAGCATTAAGAACTTCCAGAAATCCCCCTTCTTGTCAAGTCTCAGTCTCTACTTCCAATAAAATGTTTTTCCATTTTGTGTAGTTTATGTGACCTGAATCTGTTATTATGTAATTTGTGTCTGGTGTAGTCGCTTAACCAATTGAGAGATTTGTCCATGTTATTGAGCATAGTGCATGTAGTTGTGGTTTCTCTATTTTCATGGTTGTACAGAATTCCATTGCAAGAATAAACCAAATTGATTTATTTATCCTACTGTTCATATACATTTAGTAATTCCTTGCTCTTGAAAATTATAAATGATATGTTCTAGAATTCTAATTTGATGACCATATGCTAAGACTGAATGTTTGTGCCTTCCAATAATTCAGGGTTGAAGCCTAAGTCCCAACATATTAGTATTTGCAAGTGGGATCTTTGCAGGTAATTAGGTCATGAGCATGGAACCCTGATGGATGGATTTAGTGCTCTTATGAGAAGAGACAGGAGAGATGATCGCTGCCATGCGAGGATACAGCTAGAAGATGGCCATCTGCAAACCAGGAAATGAGCCCTCACCATAATCCAACCATGACAGTACCTTGATTTCAGACTTCCTACCCCCTAGAACTGTGAGAAATTAATCTCTGTTGTTTGCCTCAATGAATCTATGGTGTTTTTCCTATAGAAGCCCAAAGCAATACACCATATATGTGCATTTTATTGGATGTATTCTTAGGAGTTGAAATACTTGTTCACAGAGTTGCATATGTATGTATAGGTATATGTTCATTGGCCATTTGGATATCATCATTTGGGAAGAATCTGTTCAAAATTTTTGCCTTTTTATTTGAGTCATCTGTTTTTTTCTCATAAACTGTTAAGAGTTCTTTATATCTAGATATGCACCATTTGTCAGATATACGTATCTTGCCACACTTTGTGGTTTGTCTTTTCACTATGTTAATGGTATCTTTTGATAAATATTAATTTTACTGTAATCCAGTTTTTTACTGTTTTCTTCTGTGATTAGTAATTATGGTGTACTGCTCAAGAAATCTTTGCCTAATCCAAGTGAAAAAGGTATTTTCTTAGGTTTTCCTCAAAATCTTTATCATTTGTTCCTTCATATTTTGATCTGTAACCCATGTAAAATTAATTTTTGTATGTGGTGTGAGGTAGAGGTCAAGATTCATTTTTTTCCCATAGATATATCCAATGAACCCAGCATAATTTCTTGGAAAGACTCACTCTTTTGCATTGCACTACAGTGGTGCTTTGGTCATAAATCCAGCAGATGACAGTATGTTTGCAAGATCCTACTAAGTTTTTGAGGAAATTCTATTGCCAGAGAAACCATGGTAGTCAGGAATCTGGAATATTTATCTACTTGCTTTTGTATAAGAGGGAAAATATGACATTTAAAACCCTATGCCATCAAATGTGTTTATAAAGATTCTTATCGTATTGATAAAACTTCAAAACATTTACTCTCTGCTAGGGTTTCAATGTCCCCTCCAAAATTCATGTTGAAATTTAATTGCCATTATGGTGTATTAAGAGGTGGGACTGGCCAGGCATGGTTGTTCATGCCTGTAATCCCTGCACTTTGGGAGGCCGAGGAGGGCAGATCACCTGAGGTTAGGAGTTCGAGACCACCCTGGCCAACACGGTAAAACCCTGTCTCTACTAAAAACATAAAAATTAGCTGGGCATGGTGGCAGGCACCTGTAATTCCAGCTCCCTGGGAAGCTGAGGCAGGAGAATCACTTGAACCCGGGAAGCAGAGGTTGCAGTGAGCTGAGATTGTGCCATTGCATGCCAGCCTGGGCAAAAAGAGTGAAACTCCATCTCAAAAAAAAAAAAAAAAAAAAGAGGTGGTACCTTTAAGAGGTGATGACCTCATGAATGCATTAATGCCATTACTGTGGGACCAGGTTAGTTATCTTGGGATTAGGCTCCTGATAAAAGGATGAGTTCTGCCTGATTTCTTCTTTCTGTCTCATGTATTTGCTTACCCTTCTGCCTTCTGCCTTCTGCCATGGCATGATGCAGTATGAAGGCCCTTGCCAGATGCCAGTGCCATCCTCTTGGACTTCCAAACATCCAGAACCATGAGCCAAATAAACTTCTATTATTAATATATTACCCAGTCTCTGGGATTCTGTTATGGCATCAGAAAATGGACTAAGACACTCTATATATTTGTAAGTTAGAATTTTAGGTACAAAACACAGCATTTAAATTTAAAATACATTACTTGTCTCTTAGATTTTGGATTAGCGTGTGAACTGGGGCCTCTGACTATAACAGTGCCTGTCCAGCTAGAGTAATCCTAGAAAGCTATATATCATAATATGTTACTCTGGCCCTGGAAACTCTCCAGTGATTCCCATCTCATTAACAGCTCACACAGTCTCACCAAACTGTTACCCTCTCTCCAGCTCCCTCTCGTTTTCTCACCTTTTCTCATCACACTGGCTTCCAGCTCTTCTAAGAGGTCAGGCATGCTTCTGCCTCAGGATATTTGAATTCCCTCTGCCAGAAGTGTAATTCCTCTCCACATTTGCGTGGAACATTCTTTCACTTCCCTCAGATCCACTCAATTGTCCCTTCTCACAAAGATTTTTTTTTAGGCTTCTCTATCCCCATTATTGTTTTCCACGGATCTTACCATCACTCAATATATCATACATTAACTTGTAACATTTAATATATCTCTAAACTAGAATTTAGAACTCACGAGGATAGGGAGTTTTTAAATTCTCCTTTCTTGGTGCCTAGAGCAGTGCTTAAATATATACTAGGTACTTAGTTGTTGAATAAATTAATGAATAGTTTTCAATTAGCTTGACCATGTGTTTTATAATTAGATTTTTAAGGTTATTTCTAGAGAAACATTCTACAAGGACATTTCCTGCAGTTTAGATTATCTGGAGGCAAGATTTTTTGGCAGTGCCATTAGTAATAACAATTCAAATCTTTGAAGAGCATTAGAATAGTTAATATATAAAATTCAAAAGAGGAAAAATATATCAGAGGATGTATATTCATTTTTAAAGAGAGCTATAAATATTAAAACACAACAGATAATTATTAGGGAAATAGGCAGAATTAAGCAGGATAAGTTCTCATTATACATGCTAAGTAAATAAAAAAAAAGTCTCTAGCAGCGTCAAGATGGGCAGCTCACCCTAGCCCTAGCATTCCTACTTGGCAATGAACTGTGATAATAAAGGTGTATAACTAAGGACGTAAATAACAAATTTTGTGAAACCCAATTGATGTAAAGTGAATTATATAAAAGCCTTGGAATAGGGGTTTGTTAGAAATACCTTGAAATTCTATGCAAATCTTGTGCAAATATGCATTTTTCTGGGGGAGGATTTCCCATATCCAATTGCTGAAAGATTCCACGTTCCCCATAATTAAGAACTACATTGGATCAGTGATTCTGAAACCTGGTAGCACATTAAAATCATCTAGGAAGTGTTTTAAAATTATCAAGGCCAGTGATATTATCATTATCAACAATTTTATATATTTAATAGGCGGTGAGTGTAGATACTAGTACATTTTTAAGCTCCTTGGGTAATTCTACTGTATACTCAGAGCTGGGAATAATTGCTGTAGAGCAGGGCTGTTCAATAAACATATAATGTGAGCTATATATGTGATTTTAAATTTTATAGTAGCCACGTTAAAAATAAATGCAGGTGAAATACATTTTAGTGATATGTTTTATTTAATCTAATATATCAAAGATATTATACTTTTAACATGTACTGCTAGCCATATTTCATGTGCTCAATAGCAGCATCTGGCTAATTGCTACTCTGTTGGACAGTGCTATGGTTTGAATGTTCCCTCCAAAATTCATATTGAAACTTAATACCTAATGTGACAATATTAAGAGGTCAGACCCTTAAGAAGTGATGGGATCATTAGGGCTCTGCCCTATGAATGGATTTATCAGTTAATAGGTTAATAGATTAATGAGTTATCATGGGAAGGGAACTGGTTTCTTTATGAGAAAAGGAAAGCTTAGCTAGCACATTAGCATCCTCAACCCTCCTGCCATCTGATGCCATGTGCCATCTTGGAATGCCACAGAAATTCCCTACCAACAAGAAGGCTCTCACCAGATACAACCCCTCAACCTTGGACTTCACAGCCTCCATAACCGTAAGAAATAAATTCATTTTCTTTATAAATTATCAAATTTCAAGTATTCTAAGCAACAGAAAATAGACTAAACCAGACATATACTTTTCATGTATAGATTAATGTAGCCACTCCATGATCAAGATACAGAATTGTTTCATCACCTCAAAATTCTCACATGCTACCCCTTTATTGTCACACCCACATCCTCTCCCCAAACTTCCCAATGTCTGGCAACTGCTAATATCTTTTCCATGTCTCTCATTTTGTTATGTGAAGAATGTTTTACAAATCATGTAGTAAGTGACCTTTTGAGATTGGCTGTTTTCAGTCAGCATAGTAATTCCTGAGGTTCATCCAAGTTGTTGAGTGTATCGATAGTTCATTCTTTTTATTTATAAGTAGTATTCCATTGTTTGATTGTCTGAGTATACTACAGTTTACTTGCCCATTCATTCATTGAAGAATGTTTGGATTGTTTCCAAGTTTGGGCTATTACAAATAAAGTTGCTATGAATGTTCATATACAGGTTTTTGAGTGATCACATTTTAATTTATCTGGAATACTGCCCAGTAGTACAATTTCTCGGTCATATGTAAGCACAAGTTCAATTTTGCAAAATGCTGAGACTTCTATACTGTTTTTGAAAGGAGCTGCTCCATTTTATATTGCATCTAAAATATATAAAGAACTTTCAAAACTCAACAGTAAAAAAACTCCAAAAATCTCATTGGATAATGGTGAAAGATGTGAAGAGACATTTCACCAAAGAGGATGTACAGATGGCAAGTAATCACGTGAGAAAATATTCATCGTCATTATCTGTTAGCAAAATGTAAATTAAAACCACAATGATAAATCACTACACACCTAAATGATGGCTAAAATTTAAAAATTGTGATAACATCAAATCCTGGCAATGATAGAGAGAAGCCAGATAACTCCAACTCGTAAATTGCCGAACAGAAAGCAAAAGTCTGTAGCTTTTCATCCTCTTCACAAGGTCTTTCACAGGAAAAAAATTTTTAGTTTTGGGGAGGCCTAATTTATCAAGTGTTTTTGTTTTGTGGATTGTACTCTTGTTGCTAAGTCTAAAAACTCCTTGCTTACCCTATGTACAAAAGACTTTCTCCTATTTTTTTCTTTTTTTTTTTTTTTTACTAAAAGTTTGGTATTAGCACTTTTTACATTTAAGTCTGTGATTTATTTATTTTGGGTTTATTTTTCTTATAGTCATGAGGGTTAGGTACAGTTTCTTTTTTTTTTTTCTTTTTGGAATACTCCAATTTCTCCAGCACCATTTCCCACCAAAGTCTGAAGTCACTGCAAACTTTGTGAGATTAATGTTTCCTCATGCATTTACCTCCCAATTCTGGTGCATTCCACAAGTAATGGACAAGTATGTTTCCAGTGCTTCAGGGTTCAAATTTACTAACCCATCTTGGGTTTGGCTAATTCAAGTAGTCTGGATTGAAGTTCAGATAAATAAACACATTTCCTCACCTTCTTCTCCACTTCTCCTTCCCTCTTTTCCTCTTTCTCTTCATTTTCCTTTCAGTCTTCTCTTCTTTGTTCTTTGTTGAGCAAGATTCAGTTGTAGATACTGAGGATGTATCAATGAACAACTCACACTTGGCTTCCTGGAGTTTAGATTCTGCATGAGGGAGACAAATCATGTGAGCAAATAAAAATAATATGGGATCCGAGAATAAGTGTTTGAGGACTAGTAAATGTTGGCAATATGATACAACTGATTAGAAAACATATTTAAATCAAGGTGTAGGCAAAGTCCTTTTTAAGGACGCGATATGCATGTCAAATCTTGAATAATGAGGTGGAAGGAGATGATTGTATATTTTGAAAATCCTGTCGTCTCAGCCCAAAATCTCTTTAAGCTGATAAGCAACTTGAGCAAAGTCTCAGGAATCAAAATCAATGTGCAAAAATCAGAAGCATTCTTATACACCAATAACAGACAAACAGAGAGGCAAATGATGAGTGAACTCCCATTCACAACTGCTACTAAGAGAATAAAATACCTAGGAATATAACTTACAAGGGATGTAAAGGACCTCTTCAAGGAGCACTACAAACAACTGCTCAAGGAAATAAAAGAGGATACAAACAAATGGAAAAACGTTCCATGCTCATGGATATGAAGAATCAATATTGTGAAAATGGCCACACTGCCCAAAGTAATTTATAGATTCAGTGCTATCCCCATCAAGCTACCAATAACTTTCTTCACAGAATTGGAAAAATAACTACTTTAAACTTCATATGTAACCAAAAAAGAGCCTGCATAGACAAGACAATCCTGGGCAAGAAGAACAAAGCTGGAGGCATCACGCTACCTGACTTCAAACTATACTACAAGGCCACAGTAACCAAAACAGCATGGTACTGGTACCAAAACAGATATATAGACCAATGGAATAGAACAGAGGCCTCAGAAATAACATAACACACCTACAACCATCTGATCTTTCACAGACCTGACACAAACGAGTAATGGGGAAAAGATTCCTTATTTAGTAAATGTTGTTGGGAAATCTGGCTAGCCATATGCAGAAAACTGAAACTGGACCCCTTCCTCCACCTTATACAAAAATCAACTCAAGATGGATCAAAGACTTAAACATAAGACCTAGGATCATAAAAATCCTAGAAGAAAACCTGGGACATACCATTCAGGACATAGGCATGGGCAAAGACTTCATGTCTAAAACACCAAAAGCAATGGCAACAAAACCCAAAATTGATAAATGGGATCTAATTAAACCAAAGAGCTTCTGCACATCAAAAGAAACTATCATCAGAGTGAACAGGCAACCTACAGAATGGGAGAAAATTTTTGCAATCTATCCATCTGAGAAAGGGCTAATATCCGGAATCTACGAAGAACTTAAATAAATTTACAAGAAAAAAACAAACAACCCCATCAAAAAGTGGGCAAATAATATGAACAGACACTTCTCAAAAGAAGACATTTATGCAGGCAACAGACATATGAAAAAATGCTTATCATCGCTGGTCATTAGAGAAATGCAAATCAAAACCAAAATGAGATATCATCCCATACCAGTAAGAATGGCGATCATTAAAAAGTCAGGAAACAACAGATGCTGGAGAGGATGTGGAGAAATAGGAACGCTTTTACACTGTTGATGGGAGTGTAAATTTGTTCAACCATTGTGGAAAACAGTGTGGCGATTCCTCAAGGATCTAGAACTAGAAATACCATTTTACTCAGCAATCCCTTTACTGGGTGTATATTATAAATCATTCTACTATAAAGACACATGCACACATATATTTATTGCAGCACTATTCACAGTAACAAAGACTTGGAACCAACCCAAATATCCATCAATAATAGACTGGATAAAGAAAACGTGGCACATATATGCCATGGATTACTATGCAGCAATAAAAAGGATGAGTTCATGTCCTTTGCGGGGACACGGATCAAGCTGCAAACCATCATTCTCAGCAAATTATCACAAGAACAGAAAACAAAACACAGCATGTTCTCACTCATAAGTAGGTGTTGAACAATGAGAACCCATGGACATAGGGAAGGGAACAGCACACACTGGGGCTTTTCGGGGGGTGGGGGGCTAGGGGAGGGATAACATTAGGAGAAATATCTAATTTATATGATGGGTTGATGGGTGCAGCAAACCACCATGGCAGGTGTATAGCAATGTAACAAACATGCACATTCTGCACATGCACCCCAGAACTTAAAGCATAATGATTAAAAATATATATAATGGATTTAATGTTTGTAAAATATACAATTTTTTTAGGATATACATTAATATTTAAACCTATTAAAGTTAATATTAAATATTAACTTTATTATTTAAAACAAAAAAGAGGACAAAATATAACCCACTACAACAAAAGCAAGTACAAAAGTGAACACATATTATTATTTTAAATTGCATAAAGCCCAATTCCTAGGTCCTAGCTAAGCCCTTCTTGAGGTGAAGGATGGCCAAATACTGCTGACAAACTTCCTTTGTATCTTCCATGACAAGGTTGAAGTTCCTTGCAACGAGAACATCTTAAAAGGAAATGCGCAAGGCTGTAGTTCCTAATAGGGTTCCCTGTCAGAGCTTGATGGACCAAGATCCTTTTAGTTTATTAAAGAAACATGTAATAAACTTGGTAGAAGTCATGTACATTTGTGTGTGTGTGTGCGCATGTGTGCATGTGTGGATATATATATATATATCCACATATATATGTATGTATATATATGAGAGAGATATATATATATATCCACATATATATGAATGTTGAGCAGAAAAACACATTCCATGTATTTATAATGGTTAAACTTTTCTTTATACCCAAAGAGCTACTCATAAACAATTTCTCTGTACATATTGCTGATCCCGCAGTTTATGAGCCATTTTTAATACCTTAACTCAGTTGGGCAGGAAAATAAAGTTACAAATGTTGTAAATACATCTTGTCTTTCAAAGACAAAGAGACTTTTACTTGTGAGAAAAGAAATGATTAAATCAACTCATGATCTGCCATATATACTTTATGAGAAATCCAGAAAAACTAGTACTGTTTTAATGTCATGTCCCCAGCAGGTTTTATGGGTTTTGGTGTAAATATTTTGGTAGTGTGCTTGATGTTTTCTCAAATAAAAAGAAGTTTTCATATAACAGTTCTCTTTTTGTCTCTTCCTCAGGTATATCTTTTTCTGGTTGTATCATTACATAACCTCAAATACTTCATTACATTTCTTGGGCACTGGCTCTATTCTCTATGTTGGCATGACACAAAAGTTGATAATTAATTTTCCAATTTCAATGTAATCATTCACTTTCATCAATTTTCCTTAAAAGTTTTCAATAACTATAGCTTCAATATCTCAGGCCTGCCTAAGTTCTAAGATCATAATATTAGAAAAATTGTATGAATGGAAAGAATCATTGGTGCCTGTTTGCTAATTGAATGTGATTTTTGTATTAAGTCAAGATGTTAGTTTTAGGCATGTATCTTGGAAACAAATACTATTCAGGGAGCACTATTAAACGTCAATTACAGTCTTACCCTGGGGTGTATTTTTTATGATATATAATGACACAGGCATGCATATCTATAGTTAAACCCCAGTCCATATTCTTATTTGCTTTATGATTTAGGGTAGGTAACTTCTAGTTGTTGAGTATTGGTTTCCTCATCTGTAACAGAGATGAAAATAGGTATCTCCCAGAGATTCAATATGAAATTATGTGTATAACTCACTTAACACAGTGCATTGCAGATAGTAGTCTTTAAACAAATTTTACAAAAGTTATCATTCAGCAAAAGGTCTAACAAGTAAGCAGCCTTCTGTCAAATTATTATTAATAATAAATATTGCTTATTACTATGGACTACTTACTAGCCTAATTGATTTGTAGAACAATTTGATGAGTAGGCCCAAGTTCTACCTCAATTCCAACAATTCCTACTGAGTGCCTCATTCTCTCTTACCTCTTGCTTGGAACCAGTTACAGATATTTGCCATTCTGTAACTCTCAGTGTTTCTGTGGTAGGACTGAGGAGCCTCAGTCTCTGAATGCTTCCATGGAATGGACACTGGGTTGATCTGTGCCATTCTGCCTAAATCTCCTGAGATATTGGTACTACAAATTTATCTAAATTGTGTCGGTGCCTTCGAGTGGGAGAATGTCCTATGTTCCAATTTTTGGCATAGGCCTAATAAATGCTTTCCTTTTTCCTCCCAGTTCAGATTTCTAATGGTTTTCCCTCAGTCTCAATCTTCTACTGTCATGTTTCTTAAGCCACACTTCTGCTTTAGAAGGATTTACAATATATTATTTTATTTTCTTGTAAGTGTATTTTCAAATAATATAAAAAGTAACATGAATTCACTATAACTAAAGAATGCAACAATATATAAAGAAAAATTGATAATTATTTCCCACTACCTTCTTCATTACTTCTCATTTCCCAGTTTGATCCCATATAAACATGTTAACATTTTGGTGTGTATCTAACCACAGCCTTATCCATCCTCTTACAATATGGTCATTTCCCTATGTTTACAAAATTGCTTAAAACAATCATAACGTCTGAATCTATAACTTGTTTTCTCACGTAATGCATCAACAGGATCTGTTCATTTCCATAAATATGAACCATTCTAAAAACTGTCTCTAAAATTTAAACACTGAATGAAATCAAAATTAACTTTGCATATGGTGAGCTCCATCTTTATTTTATTCATTCAATTTCATTCATTCTCTCATTCTTCTTGCTTGTCCCTGACCCAACTGTTTCCTCATATCTTCTCTTCTCTGTACTACTCCTGATGCTTTCCACTGTTTTCCTGCTAATATTGGTGGCACATGGTGAGTAAGTTTCTCAACCTCTATGAGAGTTTTCCCACCTTGGCACCTTCAGGGATAGTACCCAGAGTGTATCTCACCTGAAACTGAATGTTTTCAGCACCACATACCTCACCATTGAGAGATGGAGTCAGTGTCCTCCTTCCTTCCAACTGTATCTTTCAGAACACAAATCTTCTACACACACACACACACACACACACACACACACACCACACCATTTTTTCTTTTTCTTGGGTTTATAACTGCCTATATAGCTACCTAGTGTTGTGAGTCATTATATATACTGATCTACTTTTGAATTCTCTGTTCTGTGTCACTGATTTTTCACTGCCCATGACCATACTATATTTTATTACAAAAGTTTTATAGTAAGAAGTTTGGTATTTAGGAAAACTAGTATTTTTTTAATATTATTTTTTTCTACTCATTATACTCTTCCTTAATTTTGCTAGGTCTTCATGGGCTATTATTCAATATAAACATTGAAATATTTAACCTTAAAAATTGTGTGGGAAGTCTGATTGGACTTGCAGTAAGTTAATAAAAATAATATGAAATATTCTTACCAAGAGAAAAAAATCTATTCCTCTAATTGTTCAGGTCTTGTTTTTTTTTGTTTGTTTGTTTTTGTTTTTTAATAATATAGTTTCTCTCACACAGGTGCTATTTTTGAAAACTTATTCCTTGCATTTTATAATTTTTAAATTGTAATTGGAACATTTATTTTTCAGTCCTATCAACTTGTTATTGGGAATTATCAATGAAACTTTTCATGTTTATTAGGTATCCACCCAATTTAACTAAATTTTATTTTTAATTCTCGGATTTTTCTGGGTATATATTCATATATTATATAAATAGAGTTTTTTATTCTTCCAGTATTAAAAAAATTGTTATATCTGATTGCATTAACTAAACTTTCCAAAATAATTTTCAATCACAATAGTTGGTACAGGTATTCTTGTTCTTGACTTGTGAAATGATTTTAACATTTCACCATTCACTATAATGGTAAGTTTTTGATAAATATCTGTTATCAAAATTCATCAAAGTGAAATTGTTCTCTTCTAATTCTATTATTTTAGAATTTTTATTAATATTACTTATTCATAAATATATATTCTTTATTGCTTATAAGCCACCCAGTTTATGGTATTTTTGTTATAGGAGCCTAACTGACCGAGACTATAATTATATGGGTTTGTTACTTAAGTAGATGAACTGACCTTGATCATCCTTTCTGGAATGAGCCCTATTTGACCATGGTTTATTATGTTTTTTTCTGTTTCTTTGATTGCTTGTTTGGAGGTGAAATTCACATGACATAGAGCTGGCCATTTTAAGTGAATAATTTAGTGACATTTAGTATATTCACAATGTTGCTTAACCATCACTTTTATCAAATTTCAAAATATTCTCATCACCCCAAGTGAAACCTATGAAGTAATTACTACCCATTTTCACTCTCCCCTCCTCCTACTGGCTGACAACCACCAATCTGCTTTCCGTGTCTATGGATTTTACCTATTCTGGTTATTACACATAAGTGAAATTATGCAATATGTGGTGATTGTGACTGGCTTCTTTCACCTTGCATAATGTTTTCAAGGTTCATCCAAGTCGTAGCATGTATAAATATTCAATTCATTCTTTTTTATGGATAAGTAAAATCGTATTGTATACCAAATTTATTTATCCATTCATATATTGATGAACATTTGAGTTGTTTTCACCTTTTAGCTATTATGAACAGTGCTGCTATGAACATGCATATATGTATATTTATTTGAGTACCTGTTTCCATTTCTCTTTGGCATATATTGAATGGATTTGGATTTGTTTGGTTGCATGATATTCTGTATTTAACTTTTTGAGGAATTGCCAAACTATTTTCCATAGTGCCTGATCCGTTTTACTTTCCCATAAGCAATGTATAAGAGTTTCAATTCCTCCACATCTTTGCCAACATGTTGTTTTCTAATTGTCATCCTAGGGAGTGTGAAGTGATAGCTCATTCTGAGTTTGATTTGCATTTCCCTAATGACTACTGATATTGACTATCTTTTCATGTGCTTCTTGGCCATTTGCATATCTTCTTTGGAGACATGTTTATTAAAGTCCTTTGCTCATTTTTTGGAGATTGGGTGTTTGCCTTTTTTGTTGTTGACGTGTAGGAGTTTTTTTTTTTTCTTCTTAGTATTAATCCCTTATCAGATATATAGTTTGAAAATATTTCTTCTGTTCTATAGGTTTTCTTTTCACTTGCTTGATAATATCCTTTGATGCAAAACAGTTTTTAACTTTTAGGAAGTCCAACTTAGATCTATTTTTTATTTGGTTGCACATGTTTTGATGTCATATCTAATGATTCACTGCTAAATTTAAGGTCATAAAGATACACCACTATGTCTTCTTCTAAGAATTTTCTGGTTTTAGCTTTTATAGAAATAGATCATTGATCTATTTTGAGCCATTTTGTATGTGGTGTAACATAGAGGTCCAGATTTATTTTTTTGCATATGAATATCCAGTTATCCTAGCACTATTCTTTTGCATGTGGATGTCCTAGACTATTCTTTCTCCAGTAAATAGTCTTGGCATTCTTACTGAAAATTAATTGACCATAGATGTATGGGTTATTTTTGAACTTTCAATTCTATTCTATTAGTCTAGATGTCTATCCTCATGAGAGTGCTACCCTCTTTTGATTACTGTAGATTTCTAGTAGGTTTTGAAATCGAGAAGTATTGGTCCTCCAACTTTGTCTTTGTTTTCAGTACTGTTTTAGTCATTCAGGGCTTCAATTTGGAATTGTAATTCCAAATGAATTAAAAATAAGCTTTTCAATGTCTGCAAAAAGAAGAAAAAAGAAAAAAAAAGGCCATTGGAATTTTGATAGAGATTGCATAGAAGGTCTAGATCTCTTTGGATAATATTGCCTCTTAGCAATATTATTTTTCCATCTATGAAAACAAGTTGTCTTTTCATTTATGTAGGTATATAATTCCTTTTAGCAAAATTTTGTGTTTTAGTGAAGCCTTTCACCTACTTGATTAAATCTATTCATAGATAGTTTATTCTTTTGGATGCTGTTATACATCAAATTGATTTTAAAAACCTTTCAAACTACCATTGCTGGTATGTAGAAATAAAACTGAATTTTGTATGTTAATCTTGTATCCTGCAATTTTGCTGAGTTTATTTATTAGGTCTAGTTGTTGTTTTTTGTTTGTTTTATTTTGGTTTGGTTTGTGTGTGTATGTTTGTGTGTGTGTATACTTTGGAATTTTCTATATATAGATTTATGTTATTTTTAAATAAAGATTTTTTTCCCAATTTTGATGCCTTTTATTTCTTTATTTCTCCTTCCTTCCTTCCTTCCTTCCTTCCTTCCTTCCTTCCTTTCTTTCTTTCTTTCTTTCTTTCTTTTCTTTCTTTTTCTTCTTTGCCTAATTGCTTTGGCTAAAACTGCCAGCACACTGTTGAACAGCAATAGTAAAAGCGGGCATCCTTGTATTTCGCCTTCATTCCTCTGTTTTTCCCCATGGTTATGATGTTACTTAGGGTTTTTTCATAAAAGTTCTTTATTACTTGAGGATGTTCTCTTCTCTTTCAAATTTCTCAGTGTTCGTATCAATAAATGGTATCTGATTTTGCCAAGCACTTTCTCTATATCGACTGAGATGGTGAGGATTTTTTTTTCTTTTTTGTTTTATTAGTGTGGTGTATTATATTTATTTATTTTTTGTGTTGATCCACCTTTGAATTCCTGATATAAATCCTACTTGATAATGGCATGCAATTCAATTCCATTAGTCTAGATATCTATCCTCATGAGAGTGCTACACTCTTTTGATTACTATAGATTTCTAGTAGGTTTTGAAATCGAGAAGTGTTGGTCCTCCAACTTTGTCTTTGTTTTCAATACTATTCTAGTCATTCAGGGCTCCAATTTGGAAACGTAATTCCAAATTGCTGCTGACTTCTGTTTGCTAATATTTTGTTGAGGATTTTTACATCAATATTTATCAGGGATATTCATCTGTAGTTTTCCTTTCTTGTAGTGTCTTTGTCTGGCTTTACTATCAGGATAATGCTGGTAACATAAAATGAGTTAGGAAGAGTTTCCTCTCCTTTTAGTTTTTGGACAAGTCTGAGGACTTGTGTTAATCTTGTTTAAAATATTTGGTAGGATTCACCAGTAAAGCAGTAGACCTTGGCTTTTCTCTGTTGGGAGGTTTTTGATTACTAATTTAATCTCTATTTATTATACATGTGTTCAGATTTTTTTATTTCTCCTTAAGTCATCAGTTTTGGTAGTTTGTGTGTTTCTTGGAATTTTTCCATTTCATCTAGGTTATCTAATTATTTGGTTTTTCATGGTATTCTCTTATAATTGTTTTTTATTTCTGTAAAGTTAGTAATAATTTGCAGTTGTCAGTTCTGATTTTATTTATTTGTGTCTTCATTTTTCCTTAGCCAGTCTAGCTAAGATTTTTCCATTTTGTGTATCTTTACAAGTAATTATTTTTTTGTTCCTTGATTCTCTTTACTGTTTTCTTAGCTCTATTTTATGTATCTCTACTCTAATCTTTACTATTTCCTTCTTTCTGCTAACTTTGAGTTTAGCTGCATATTCTTTTTCTGGTTTCTTAAAGTGTAATATTAAGATATGATTTGAAATCTTTCTTCTAATTGCCTTTGTGCTGTTTTCTTTGACTCACTGGTTGCTTAAGTGTATTTTATATTGTTTGATTTCAGCATATTTGTGAATTTTCTAGTTTTCCCTCGGTGAATTGATTTCTAGCTTCATTCTCTTATGGTTGGAGAAGATATTTTGATATCTTTTAAAACCCGAGATTTGTTTTTTGGCTTACAATATGGTCTATCCTAGGGAATGCTCCATGTGCACTTGAGAAGAATGTATATTCTGTTGTTGTTGGGTGGAGTGTTCTATACATATTTGTTAGATTTAGTTGGTTTAAAGTGCAATTCAAATAATCTATTTCCTTATTGATTTTCTGGCCAGATCTTCTATCCATTGTTGACAGTGAGGTATTGATGTCTCCAAATATTATTACAGAACTGTTTGTATCTCCCTTCAAGTTTGTCAATGTTTGCTTCATATATTTTGGGTTCTCTCTTTTTGGTGAATATATGTTTATAAATGTTACAGTTTATTGATTAAATGTCTTTTTAAACTGTATATATATATATATTCTTATTTATCATTGTAACAATTTTGGGCTTAAAGTCTATTTTGTCTATTATTAGTAGAGAAACCCCAAATTTCTACAAGTAGCTATTTACAAGGACTATTTCTTTTTTCATTTGCTTTCTCTCAATCCATTGTGGTCCTCAAGGCAGAACACAGGAGCAGGGTCCCCCCACCTCTTCTTCTTCTTTCCTTTCTCCAAAGACAGAGGATAAATACAAGAATAACATTATCAAACACTTTCATTGTGCTGTGTGACAGATGTTGTTCTAAGCACATTTTTTTCTTAAAAATTCTAGGCGTTAGGTACAATGATTATCTCCACTATTTTATTTAAATTTAGGTATCTACAGTTATAAGTGAAATTGGCTCACAGTGTTCATTCTTGGTTATGACACATTCAAAAATTATATTGAAACTTGTTCATGTTTTGAATAGTTTAAATAACATTGGCATTATTATTTCTGCTATGTTTATGTAGAATTCAGCCTCTCTAGAATTAAACTGGATTTTCTATGTGTTTTTGTATTTACTCAGTGACCTCTTTTGATGCTTCTGACACATTTTCTTCTTAAATTCCTGCTAGTTTCTGCCGGCTCTCTCAGAATGGATCAATAACTCCCAACTTTCTGTGGGCCATTGCCACCAGTCAGTGTGCTCCCATGTCATTATAAATTCATTCTGAAACTCTAAGGCTCACACTACAAATGCTTTAGAAATTTTCCTTTTACTGTTTCAGAAATTTCTCCTTTCCTGATAACTATAATTCCTATACTTCTCTTTCTGTTAATAATTCCTCTACTGTAATCTTTAGAGAAATGACTGAAAGCTTTTATATGATAGCTCTAGAATTCCTCAGACCAACTGCAACTTGCCTATAATTTTTAAATTGTTGCTTCTTCCTCTCACCTACCTTATTTCATCCCTCTCAATTCTCTGACTGAATGCTGCAATATACTCCATTTATCTCAGCTTCTAACTTGTTGCTACCAGGGATGGATTTCATAATGTAAGCAAAGAAGCTTTGGTGTTGATCACAGGAGCCAAACTGTGAGGATTCTATTCTCAGCCTCCCTTTCCAGCTCAGTGACTGTGTACAAGTCGCTTATCTACTCTGTGGCTCAGTTTTCTTACCCACAAAGTGGATATAATCATTGTACCTAACTCATGTAATTATTAAGAGACAAATGTGCTTAGAACAACATCTATCACATAGCACAGTGTAAGTGTTTGATAATGTTGTTCTTGTATTTACTCTCCATCTTTGGAAGGGGGGAAGAAGGAGCAGAGAGAGAGAGAGAGAGAGAGAGAGACAGAGAGACCCTCCTCCTGTGTTCTGCCTCGGGGCCCATATTTTCAACTGTATTAGTCCGTTTTCACACTGCTGATTGGGAAATTTACAAAAGAAAGAGTTTTATTTGGACTTATAGTTCCACGTGGCTGGGGAAGCCTTACAATCATGGCAGAAAGCAAGGAGTAGCAAGTCACGTCTTACATTGATGGCAGCAGGCAAAGAGAATGAGAGCAAAGTGAAATGGGTTTCCCCTTATCAAACCATCAGATCTCATGTGACTGATTCATTACCACGAGAACAGTATGGGGGAATCCATCTCCATGATTAATTTATCTGCCACTGGGTCCCTCCCACAACCTGTGGGAATTATGGGAGTTACAATTCATAAGATCTGGGTGGGGACACAGAGCCAAACCTTATCATCAACCAACCAGTTGAGCTTGCTTCTTATCTTATACCTCAAAATACCGCATTTTAAGGAAAAGTGATAGGTTTTACTCACTGAGTCCCTTCAACTGATACCTAGTCAATCTCTGGATATACATTTTATAAATATCTTCTTAAAATTAAGCATTAAATCACAACTAAAAATACATAGATCTCACTATCAATTTTCTTAGTACATGTTGTAGTGACAATGTAGAAATGGTATGGTCAGAAACATTTAATATGTGCACCACTGAATGATTTCCTCTTCCATTTAAACCTTTCATCTGCTAAATTATGTTTTAAAGTGAAATATAAACATTTTCAGAAAAAAAGAGCTTCCTAGGTCTGAAAGTGACCAGAAATCTTGATGAAAATGAAAGAAAGGAAAAAAGGGAGTGAAATATAAAACTGTATGATATACGTGAATGTGGGTTTGCTTTATCTCTCATATTTATTTTCCCATTTATTCACAACTGTCGCCTGCTGCATGTGGCTGTGCTTGAGATAATTTGACCTACTCTTACTGCCTACTCTACTGGTCATTACTACTCTTCACTTATCTATTCAAATATTTATTAAATACCCTTCCCTCTTTCATATTTTGATTGGTCCAGCAGAATTCTGATACAATGAAAAGTGCTCCACACCAGGAAATGCTGATTAACTTTAATTTTGTTCTTATGCTGACTCTAATGGTTCCGTAGCCCTCTAAGATATTCGAATTCCTCAAGAAGCTAAACCTACTATTTGTGGTGAGTTCAGGTACCACAACTTGGTAAACAGTTAAAGAGCAGTATGAATTCCATCTTCAGCTTGATATTCTGTTGGCAATAGATTGTGTGAGCCTCCAAAGAAGTGGCTCATTTTTACCACTCTTCTGTACTTTCAGGTTGGCAACTACTATTTCAGCCACTACAGGGATTAAAATACAAGACAGTCAATGAGTCTTTACTACATGACTAAATAACTCTTATATGAAGCACAACATAAGGATGATAAGTCCAAATGTCATGGACATCCCGGAAGGTGAGGCTACAAACAGGGCTAGTACGGTAGGACCCAGTGCACCATAGTCTTCCAGGAAACGTGAAAAAGGTTTTTTTGTGAAAAAATTTGGACGAGAGTAGAAGTACCCTACTTTTTTTTTTTTTAAAGCACAATTTCAGAATGAATATATGTCTATTTTTTTTAATTTCCAAGAATTCAGAACAATTTTGGCATTAGGAATCATTATATATATATAATTTCTCTGTCTTAAAAAGCTTTTAACGTCCTCTTTGTAAGTTTTCCTGCAGAAAAAAATACCAAGTTACTTCCTGATCATGCATAAGTAGTTGTTCCTTTGCGAACTTGCCTCTTTTTACATGAGGAAAAAACTTTATGTTCCATCAGGCTAGACTAGAGCTAGAAGAAGAGAGGTTATTTCCAACTACATGTGGGTGCAGGCAGGAGGCAGTGTCATCCTTCAGGTGTTTGAAACATTCTATAATTTACCCTGTCTTATCAGGAGAGAGTATTTTTCTTGCTTGACTCATTTCCATTCTGGGCAGAAAGTTAGTGTAAAATTTTATTTTGCTTCCAATTCTTACCCTTGGAAAATTCTCACTTCCAGCTCACTCTACCTACTGTTTCTTAAAAGAATGAATACCTTTCTTTCCGAATTCACATGTTAAAGTACAGTTAAAGCAGAATACGTATAGGTTTTAAGCAAATTTTGCACATTTAAAAAATCTTAAGTATTTCTTCCTTCTAATTATAGTCTTTTAAAGCAGCATTTCTTTTCTAATTTAGTAATATATATCTAAATTTTTGCCCCCCCCCCAATTTTTCATCCCCCCCAAATTGGTGGTTATTGAAGAAATATTTATTATAATATATGCTACCAGGTAAAAATTCATATTTGAGCAACTGTATGGCTCTGAAATTCAAAAGACGCTAGATTTTTTTAAGTTGATAATATGAGTCTTAAATGTTACTTTTCAGTGTTCATATGACTAATAATTTTCCTTTATTGTCATATTTTGGTGATATTTGTCATAATATGCATGCATTTTGCCTTTTTCCTTTGATTTAGCTGAAACTTTCAAATAGGATTCTATATAGTTAATTCCAGTTTTGAAAAAAACAGCTACTGATCCAGCAACGTTTTATTGAGCTGGAACAAGAAGCTCTTCTGAACATAAATAATTCAATTAGTTGAAATCAAAGTTATACTACATTCAGTGTTAGGTAAAACTAATATATAACAATAAGGATAGGATCAATATAAACTTGCAAATAGTAGAAGAGATGAGCTTTATATCAACTATTTAATGCAGCCCTGAAAGGCAAATCCCAGCCCATTATCAGACATGAAGAGAAATAAATGAAGGAAAACTGAATGATTAAATGCTTTCATCTGGAAATTTGATTTCAATAATCAGAAACCCTACAATTCTCCTAATTCATCATGGTCTTTGTTTATTACTAATAAATTAATGTGCTGATGGAAAGAATTCATTACCCTTTTTATACACTTCACTAGTTGCAGGTCATTTATTAATCTGTGTTATCTGGTGAGACTAAAACAGCTGTAATTACATTGTTAAACATTGATTAATAAGCAACTCTCATAACTACTAAAAGAAACATGTAAAATGTGTATTCTTTCAAGTATTTAGCTTAAAGTTTTACTCTCCTGTTGGGAATAAGAAATTTCAGAATGCCATTAATATTCTTTCTGAGCAAACTTGATTTGCTTTTGCAGCTGCTTCCAGTCACACCTATGAAACCCGATTACCAAAAAGAATTCAATTACACTAAAGAAACTCATCTTGTTCGTGAAACAATATTAATTCTCTAAAGTTAACATCCAAAATTGAAGTGTATTTTTTTGATTTTTACTTATTTTTCTTTAATTTAATGTTAAAAGGCTGCGCAATCAAAGCTGTGTTTTTATTTCCTCTATTTTGATTATACAGTCTAATACACATCCATTTGTGGTTTGGAATTTAAATATTTTACCAATTGGCAGTACGTCAACAGCCAGAAGCATATTAAAAATTTCTGTAGTTACTGTTTATTAGGTTTCCAGTATAATCAGTTTGATTTAAGTGTTACCAGAACATTATGACATGTCAGATATTTTGATTATCATTAACAGTAAATAAGCAGACTACCCCTGACACATGAGCAAATTATGCAATTTCCTTTCCATCAATACCATAGAAAATAAAATGGTAATGTTAAGAAATGGTTTTCTAGTAGATGTTTTAAGCATAACCCAATCAAATTCATGACTTCTTAATAAAGTGCCTCTTGTGCTGTCAAAAATTCATCTTGAAATTTGAGGTGCCATATAGTTTCTTGTACGTTTGTCACTGAACAGACTCCTGCCACTAATTTTCTCACATTCATATATGAGTGTCAAGTTCTGTAAAGAGGTAGCTGTCATTTTTAGGCAGGATGGTGGTATCGCAGGAACTGAGGGTAGATGTTACATGTTCAGTTCCCAGGTTTTTCACTAAATAGCCATGACTGGAGACAGTTGCCTAAACTATATTTTTACGAGAACAAAAGGAGGTAATTTTTTCCAAAAGTGGCTAGCATAGTGCTGTTAGCTTAGAGTAGACACAGGTAACATGTTATTTTCCTGCCTTCCCTTGCATCAAGATTTGTAATCAGAGTAGTCAATCGTTTTAGATTTTTAGACTGCCAGGATGGTCTTCCTATTCCCCAAATATCTCCATTAACAGCTGGCTTCTGACTTTTGAAAGTCTATTGGTTATTGTATTAAGCTTCTATCAGTTATTCCCATTTAAGTTAATTCATTAAAATATTCCCCAAGATTAGGATTGAAATTATAAAATTCTTTTTTATTAAAAAATTATTTTTTAAAATAAAAAACTAACGAGAAGGGAAGAGGAAGAGTCAGGTCAAAGGGAGGATTACGTAAGGGGACTGAGTGGCTGGATAAAGAGGACAGGACAAACTGGGATAGATCCAGGTGACAGAAGCAAAGAAAGGACTTCACTTGCTCTTTGGGAGAACCTGGTGTCATCCAGCTTGCAACTCAAAGCTGCAACTAGGAACCATACGTGTTACGATGCTCTTGGGTACAAATAACAGAAGCCAACAAGCGCATTTATTGGGAGGATTTTTGGAACATATGTAATTGCAGAGAAGCTGGAAGGCTAGTTTAGAGGAATGAATTGAGCTGAACACTTCCTAGTAGTAAAAATACAGGAAGCACTACAAGTGTTTTTAGCAGGGATAACCTGGCAGGCTACTGCTACTGCTGCTGCTGCTAAGGAAATGAGAAAAGCTTCCTCTGTCTAGAATAAATCCTAACTCTAGTTACTTTTGCTTATATCTTCCAAGTTTAGTGTTTTGGCAGGGGCGTATCTCACTCAGTGCTCTTAGGCCCAGACACTTACCTTACTAGTCAAAGGGCAGGAAGAAGGAAAGTCTATTTTTCTGGCTTCCAGTAGCCTTCAATCACAGGCAGGAGTTCTTTCCCCCATATCCCCACAGAGACAATAAACAATGGGGAGTTTCTTCAAAATAAGAAGAGGTTGAATGCTGTAAAAACAAGGAAACCAACAAACTACTATGCCATAGCACCTGCCTTATGTCCAAGACTCCAAACAGCAAGAGAGTAAGAATGAGACATGATTACTATCGGGGTAGAGGATATAGCTCATTGTTCCTTGAAGAGGATATATCTCATTGTTCCTAGAAGATATATCTCATTGTTCCTTGAAGTCTCCCAGCAAGGGCCTGGGAGACTTGCTGAAAGAGAGATGTCTTTCTGTTCTTTTTCTACTTTGCTCTGTGCTAGGAGAGGCTAACTTCTACGGGCATATCAACTGGTCTGCCTTAACTTCTGGTTGGCCTCAGAATATGGGAAACAAAGCCTAAAAATTAGAGATCAGAAAGACAATGGGTTTGAGTTACTTATTCTCCTAGCTCAGTTAGTGCCTGGCTTTAGGTTGGCTGTTATTATTGTCTCTTGAAGGCCACAGATCGTGCCCTGCTCCTTTTCTACAGTGACATGTTTACCTGAGTTCTCTAAATAATTCCTCTCCTTATATACTCAGGGTTGGGGCTGAACCGTCTTTCCACTATCACGAGCCATTGGATGTTTTACCATTCTTTTATGTTTTCTTTTAACTATGTTGAAGCCTTTGTTCAACAGTCCCTTCTGTAAACTCTCTTCAATCGCATACTCCTTTTGAGTTTGTATTTGGTTTCATGTACCAAGCTGACTGATACAGGTGGGGTGCAGAACACGTCATTAGCTGTAAATGGACTTACTGCTGTTCCACAAATGATTTTTTTAAAATATTGAGTTAGATAATAAGTTTATATAAACCTTAGGCATAATACATGCTTTCACTAATATTTCTCTAACTTTTCTGATAGTCTCCTAAATAAGGAGAAATCAGAGTCAGGTCCAAAAATTACCACAGCCTTAAGTTGGTTTATTTCAAGTCCACATCTATCCTCATATTCAAGCAACATTCTAAAACAAAGTCCAAGTCATGTTTCTCTTCACCAATCAATTTTCTCATTTGATATGTGCATTCTAAAGATAAAATTTATTTAAAGTCAAGTAAGAATTTATAATTTAGGACACTGATTTCTGATGTTCTACAAACCTTTACATGTAAAACATTTTCAGAATCATTTTTAGAATGTTACGTGAATTAAACTTTTCAAAAACAAACAAAAAAATCACTACAATTTTTTTATATCATTTGTAGCTCTTTTCTCATTTTCCATTCTTCTTACTGTACTTCCTGCAACCTGACCCCTATTGAAACAACATGATCTCCAAAATTCCAAATTTCTTTGAACCGAACCTTTTCACTGCATGGGATTTTTCATATCTTTATTGGAAATCTCTCGTCCTTTGGCTTTCATGACAGCATAATCTCAGTTTTCTTACTTGTTTGACAATCCTTACAATCCTTTGCTGAAACTCTCTTCCAAATTCTGTAATACTTTTCAGGGCAAACATTCTTCTTTCCTCCCTCTCCCCTCCCATTTCTTCTCCTTGTCTCTTCTTAATTCTTTTTCTTTCTCAGTTGTACTCCGCTTCTCTCCTCTTCAGTTGTGCTTTCATTAACTATAAAAGCTTTGACTGAAAATATAAAGATCAACAGGTGCTCACAGGTAATATAAATGAGCAAAGCAGATGGAGGTAAGCATTTGTGTGTCTTTAATGAGCAGGGGAGTAAAGGAGGTTGCCAATCTCTTATAAAGGGGCAGCCCTCACTTAGCAAGTGGAATATTTGTCATGTGGTGCTTTGGCTCAGGGTTCTTTGAACTTCCAGTATTTTGAGAAGAGTTGAAATTAGTCTCCAAATGTTTCAGTGTTTGTTCAGAAAACTATTTTAACATGGTACAAGTTAAACAGAACACTCGTATAGACCAAATTTGGTTTAAAGGTGGCTACTTTTTTGTTTTAAATTTTATTTTAAATTTTTGTGGGTACAAAATAAGTGTGTATATTTATGGGCTACATGAGATGTTTTGACACAGATATGCAATGCATAATAATCACATAAGGGTAAATGGGGGCATATATCATAAAAGTGACTAATTTTTGAACCTTCATCTAAACTTCAGTTTTATAATTCTAGACCTGATTTTATATAATTTCTCTGAAAAACTCTACTTACATGTATGACCTACTTGTAAAACTCACACAATATGTCCCCAAACTGTAATCATCACCTTCATTTCCAACCCTTCCTCTTGATTTTCAACAATATTATCACCATTGAGAAACATTTTCCAAGATAGAAATCTTGAAATCATCCTTGTATTCTTATTTTTCCTTTCCCAAAGTTTTCAGACCCTAGATGCTGCATTTCTTGAATCAGTTATCTTTTCTTCCTTATCACTGTCCCTATTATGACTCTAATATTTGGGTGGCCTCCCTAACATCAAAGTATTTCCTTCTGGTAAATTTACTTTTATACGTATTTATATATACATTTATACCTCTGTTAACTCTCCTCTGCCTCGTGGGACTTTTGAAATCTGCCTTTAAAGCTTTCTGGGAAAGGCATACTTTCTTGGATTATGTAAAAAAGTTTTAGATGCCCCAAAATAACTATGGCTGAGCATACTCTAGTATCCACTTTACTCATTTGTAAATGGGTCAAAACATCTCTTTCATATTATTACAAACAAAATAATAAAATGTAAAATTATCATTAATTTTCACAATAAAGTACAATAACATTTATTTATTTATTTATTTGGTTTGCAGTAGATTACTACTTCATATGTTACTGACAGACTTATGATGGTACCAACTCACTCTCTGCTTTCTGTATTATTTTGGCAAAAAGTTTGAAAATTATTGTCTTAAAGACAAAATTCAAGCTACTTTTTTGTATTCAAAAAGTCTTTACAATTTGTTCCTAATTCATCTTTCGCATCTCATCTGAATCTTTCACTTTCACTCTGTCCATATCATTCTTAGCTTTTTGTGGTTTCCCAAACATACCAGACCCTCTCACTTCTTGATTTTGCACATGTTCTCCACTTTATCTACGGTAATTCTTCTAGTCTCAGGTCAAAAGTTAGCTTTTTGTGAAGGCTTCCCAGTTCTGAGGTCTTTAACCACTTTTCACTTACATTGTATTCTAATTACTTGCTAAATTTGTCTCTTTCATTACACTATGAATTTCTGGAGAGCAGAGACCTCCTTTTTAATCCCTATTGTCTAGCGGAGTGCATGTTAATGATTGAAAAAAAATGAATGATGAAACTAGCTATTGAATATATTAATTTTTAAAAAGTATGTGTGTGAACAAAACCCCAGAAAATATCTCTTCTAACTTTCATTTAGTGATAAGATTTGTGTTAAGCAAGATTGTGAACTTTGTCAATAATGATCATGGAAATTAGAAATAATTTAGCCATCTACTTGTTGGTTGTAATTAGTAATACTGCACAATAAATTTTATGAATTAAACACGTTGCACATTAGTTTAGGAGAAACATTTTTAACTATATATTTTGGGTTTGCTTTTCCAGATCCTCTGCTCTTCCTTCTCTACCCTGCTGTTTGAGGAAATGTAACAACTTAAACTGCCGCAATAGGGCTTTTGTTTCTGGCCAGTGGGGAGCGCCGTGGACGAGCAGTGGGCAGAAAGAGAATGAACTTGGTATTTATTCTATTGGCCCTCTCCCGGTAATGGTCCAGTAAGTGTCCCCTCTCTTCTCCCTTAGGTCAGGGGGCAGCAGCTCTACAGTTACTACCAAGCCAGAGTTGCTGCACTGTACTTTGTGGTTCCCTTACACCCCCATCTCTGTAAATAGCCTCATATTTGAGTAGTTTGCTGAATGATCCAGATTTGAGTGTATCCTATTTGATCCATGAAATGTTGGGAACTTGACTCATATAATCTTCTTCTATTTCCATGATTTCTTCTTCAAAATTTTAAATGAGTAAGAATGACTTTTTCTTCCTTTCTTTCTTTTTTAACTACTTTACAGTGATAATTTTTGTTCACCCTTAGGAAAGTATGTGTTCAAGACTAACTTTGAAAAAAAATGGATAAAATGAACAATGGCATGCTTTTGTAAAATGTATTTTTATTCCAGGCCATAGTTCAAAATATTTAGATTGATGTTGAATAGCACTTATATTTTAAGAAAATTTCCTATATTCAAGAACATAAATCAAGTTAAAATACATTAAAATATTTCTCAGATAAATAAGGTTACAAAAAGCTTTCATGAAAGTTTTGTGCCTAAAACAATTAAAACCTAATTTTAAACTCTCTGTGGATAACATTTAATATCAACAGGAAGAAAGTTATTAACAATTTAGACAATTAAAAGTATTTTACATATAATTTAGAAAGTAAAAATTAAAGATATATCTAATAATGATAAAATTATAAAATATTAATTAATCTTTAAGACTATGAAATAGGGAATTATTTTAGCATTCTTATGGATTCCTTTTTCTATTTTCTTTTTTTTGAGACAGCTTGTCACCCAGGCTGGAGTGCAGTGGCATGATCTTGGCTCACTGCAACCTCTGCCTCTCCGGTTCAAACTATTCTCCTGCCTCAGGGTTTACAAGCGCATACTACCACACCCAATTAATTATTGTATTTTTAGTTGAGATGGGGATTCACCATGTTGGCCAGTCTTATCTCCAACTTCTGGCCTCAAGTGATCCTCCCACCTTGGCCTCCCAATGAGCTGGGATTACAGGCGTGAGTTACCACACCCAGCCACTCACCATGAATTCTTAATGTGATATGTTTAAATTCCAGAGCACATTGTTCTAGTTTTTGTTCCAAAGTATTAAAATACAAATATATTGAAGCTTTGCTGAAACACTGCACTCAGGGTTCATGCTGTGGGACTCCCCATAGGTGAAATAATTTTAAGACCCTATTGGTATTTTCCTGAATAATCCTCCAGATGATGCCCAAATGTAGTTGCTTCTCTTATGCTTTACAGTGAAGAACACTGCAGTGAAGTTTACACACACAACCCATTAAAATTAAATCCATCAAGTTTAAAGGTAACTTTAAGGTGCATTTTAATACAAAAAATTAAAATGATAATATACTTTTAACTTCTCTATTTTATATGAATATTTTTCCTACACTTAGTCCTATTCCTTTCATTTTTCACGTCACATATGTTCCACAAATTTTACTCACGCACTTTTAACCTTCCCAAATGATTGACCACATTTCACTATCTCAAGGTTAGTGACTCTGGCTTGTCATTTTTCTGTTAAGTATGGCCTGTAAGTGAAAGCGATTGAATCTTCCAGGATTCCAGGGTGGGTTTTGTTTTTCCTTTGTGACAGTTTCATATACTAAAGAAGTTTTGACAGCACTGGTGCTCCTATTTTTGGGGAACACTTTGAGTTTGCCAAGAATAACAAGTCTTTGAAAATACTAACCCATGATCCAACATTCTGATGAATGTCTGCAAGAAGAAATGTAGGTGACTATAAATCATTTTGGACAGTCTTGGTGATGATATGAACTAACAGAAAACCTGAAGACAACCAACACACTGTATCAGTCACAAGCAGAGAATCTCAAGGGCTGCTGGCCCTAAATTCTAACCACCTCCTACACCCAATGCTGAACCTTTTCTACTAAACAATGTCTATTCTGCCTTTTCTCACAGCACCTACCTCAGTTCTTTACTCTTCTGTTCTAAACTCTGCTAGTGAACCTGACACCCATCCAATACACCTTGGCAGTTCCGCATGTCTAAGACCATCCTGCTTAGGAAAGATCTACTGAACAACTTACACAAATCTGATGACATTTAGCCTTAACTACTCTTCTAGCCAGAGGCTCTGGAATGTGGACCTCACAGTCAAACTTACTCTTATCTCTACGGGATCCAGTTCCCCCACAAGGGCTAATTAATAATTCAATTCATTTTAGCCTGTCTCCTTTTCTGCTCCTTTCTAGTTGTACAAAAGTGTTGCTTCTAAACATTCACCTACTAATTGGGCCCTTATTTTCCACCTACAAACCTGTTTCTCAATAGAGACCTTTTTTTTTCTTCCTAAATTTCCTGAGCCATCAACCAGATTATAGCTGTGCCCTGCTTTCCTGCTGGGAACTAACACCTGCTCTTGCAAAACCCTCTTTGACTTTTGTCTGAATCCAAATTGAGTTTGTCACATTCTTTGTACATTGTTCATGGCTCATACAACCTCCTACACCCTTTCCCCTTTCAACTGCACTTTGTAGTTAGTCTCACAATAAACCTAACTATGGCACCCTAAATATAATCTCTATACCTGTTCTTCCCTGGTGGGTTTAGATTAAGGTACAAATGGCTTCAACTTTTCCACTCTTTTGTCTGCTTGATCAGAACTTCACTTCTCACACTCCAGTCCCATGTATGACATAAGCCAATACCCTATGTTTCCTTCCTTTTCAGTCAACTCCACAGCACATTCCGCCTTATTCTAAGCTTCCTGAGCTCTCTATTTCTGCTGCCAGCCTGCTCATCATTGCTAAACAAACAAACAAAAAACAAAAGTCACAAGACTGTTAAGATAATCAACTTCAGATTAATTGCTACTCTTCAGACAGACTTTGATGGTAATTTCTGTATCACTTAGAGACTGTTTCACACTTTTTTATTCCCTTCTAGCTTTAAAGAACACTTCTGTTCCCATCCACACCCCCTTAACTTTTCTCTCCCTAGCCTACAACCACTTGCCTTTATTCTCAGCAAATATGAAACATACCTCTTATTTTTGCTAACAGAACCATGGACATCCAATCCAAAGGGAACACCCTGAAATGCCTTTATCTTTTCCTAATATTTCTCAAAATTGGCTCTTTTTCATATTTTTTGTGAAAAAATATGAAGTGTCTGCCACCATTCCCAAGCACAACTTATTTATAATTCTCCACTTTTCCTTTTGTTACATCTGTATCCCTAGAACTACTATGGAAACTCTTCTTCCCCTTACCACTAAGAGGGACTTTAATTTTCACTCATTCTCCTTTTAACTTTTTACATCTCAGCTGCTTAAACTTTTTTTTCTTTATTTAATATAACCTGTAAACACAAAACATATATAACTACCTAAAAAATACAATAAGTATATATATATATGACCTTCCAGTTCAAGAAATAGATGATTACTGGCCAGGCGTGTGGCCAACACCTGTAATCCCAGCACTTTGGAAGGTTGAGACGGGCGGATCACGAGGTCAGGAGATCGAGACCATCCTGGCTAATATGGTGAAACCCCGTCTCTGCTAAAAATACAAAAAATTAGCTGGGCATGGTGGCAGGCGCCTGTAGTCCCAGCTACTCGGGAAGCTGAGGCAGAAGAATGGTGTGAACCCGGGAGGCAGAGCTTGCAGTGAGCCAAGATCGTGCCACTGCACTTCAGCCTGGGCAACAGAGTGAGACTCCATCTCAAAAAAAAACAAAAAAAAGAAAAGAAATAGATGATTACCAATATAATTAAATGGGCTTCTGCCAATTGCTTCCGTTCCTTCTGTCCTAGAGTAAACTGCTATCCTAAGTTTTGTGATAATAATTTCCTTTCTTTTCTTTATAGTTTTACTGTGTGTGTGTGTGTGTGTGTGTGTGTGTGTGTATGTGTGAGTGTGGGTGTGTGAATGTGTGTGTATCTTTAATTAATCAATTGTTTATATTAATGCAATACTTGCCACAATCTTTTTTTTCACCCCAGCAGACACCTCTTTGCTATGGTTTTAGAGCCCTTGTGCTTACTGCCATAGCACTTATCTCATTTACTTACTGCCAAACCCTTAGAAAATGAGCTATTTGTACATTTTATTTCTTTATTCTCAGAACTTAATCAGTGCCCAGAACATAGTAGGCATTCCATAAATATTAGTTAAATGAATTAGTAAAAGAAGAAATTGGGGGCACAACCTCCTTACAGGTTCAGAGTTCCTGTATTTTTATATTAACACTGTATTTAAGTAGATGAATACATTTTGAGCAGAAAGATTTTCAATCACAGAGATTGAAACAAAAAGCATGTTCTAGTTAAGTTTCTCTAAAATAATCCCAGTTCTGTCACTAATTGACTGCCACCTTGGGCCATTTACTTAACCTCTTGGTCCTCTGTTACCTAATCTATAAAATGAGGTTGGACTAAATGATCTCCAAGGTCTTTTTCCAACTGTGAAATTCTGTGATTGTCATCAATGATTGTATAAATAAAAAATTCAATTAACAAGAACATCTTAATCCCTAAGCATTATCATTAAATTGAGATTTTACTTTTTCAAAGAGCAATTATTTTATATACACAGTAGGATAAGAAAGTGTTCATATCTTCCTTTCTAGCTACAATTCATCAGCAAATTCCTTTTTACATAATGTGAACAATGTTTCTCCTTGTCTAGTATGGGAACTTCTCTTCCTTTGAAGGTGTATCATTGAGAGGTCTCTTCTTTACTTAATCAATTGATTCATTACCTAGTTCAGAATACATGTCATTTGTCTTACCCTAGTCTAATGAAACCTGCTAGGCTTTCCTCAAAAATCAAATGAGACACTCTAGTCTTCATGACCAGCCTGGGAGAATTCGTGAGACCTTGGACTACAGGCCTCAGGACCTCAGCCTTTATGTGCTCTTGGACCATTCCAAACCCATTTTCTACAGCTAACTTATGTTATTTCTTCCTTCTCTGTTCTTTGCTCCACCTCCTCCCTATTGTTACTGCCTTCTCTCCTATGCCTATATTCCATGGGAAATTTTTGGGTAACCTATGCTGTCTAACTGACCCACTTAGAACTTCCCTCTGTAAACCGTTCCAGTGAGGGCCACTTTTCACATTACTGCTACAAGGTAGGAATCTGCACACATATATAATATAATTGCAGAATAAAGAAAATCACTTAAACATGAAAAGTCATATGCATGGTCATTCTAAAATATTTAACAGCTTTATTGTGGTATAAATGATATAAGGTAATCTTTACATATGTCAAATGTAGTTTGCTTAATTTTGACATAAGTATATACTTGTGAACCCATAAACAGAATCCTGATAATGAATATATTTTTCGTTCCCTAAACTGATCTCATCACCTTTTATAATTCTTATTTTCTACCCTTCCCCACACTCTTCTCACGTTCCCCCCAAACCCCACAGTTCCATCTACTTTTTAAACACTATAGATTTTATTACATTTTCTAGAATTGTTTATCATTTGAATAGTTGAATACTCATGGCTTATTAATAATTAAATATCTATCCTCTTTTTCTCAGCATAATTATTTTGAGAGTTATCCATGTCATTGCATGTATTAGTAAATAGTTTGTTCTAGTTTGTTGTCTAGTATGTTCCATATTGTGTGGATTTATCACAATTTATTTGTCTATTCATCTGTTCATGGACGTTTGGGTTATTTCCAGTTTTTGGCTATTATAAGTAAAGGTGCTATGAATATTTCTGTTCAAGTCTTTGTATAGATATATACTTTTTCTTCTTTTGGATAAATACTAAGGATGGTATGGCTGGAAAATATGATAATTATTTTTTTAAATGCCAAATTACTTTCCCAAGTTGTTGTGCTATTTTGCCAGCAGCAGTATATGAGAGTTCCAGGTTCTCCACATGCTGCTAACACTCAGTTTAGTCAGTCACTTTATTATAGCCATTCTAAAAGATGTGTCATGGTACCTCACTATGTGCTTGTCATTTAGAATATATAAATAAAAGCAAAACTTCGGTAGTAAAAAGACAAGTAACTCAATAAAAATGGTAAAATGTTTAAATGGACACTTCACAAAACAGTATATACTAAAAGAAAATATGCATATAAAATGATGCTCAGCATCATTAGTCATTAGGAAAGTGCAATGTATTATAGATATTTTGATTTACAAAAGAATCAATTAACATGAACTGCTGAGTTGTACATGGTTCATATCATATATGTAACGTAGGTGTGCTTTTTTTTTCCTAATGCAGCGTGAAACAATTTAATGCATAAATATTTATGTTTTAGATTATGTCCCTGTTATGGATGACCAAGAATAAAATATGTATATTAATACATATTTTCAAATTACTTCCCAGAAACATACAATTTCCGTCAATGAATGAGACTTCCTCTTTTCACAAACTTTTAAAAAGTATTAACTTCTAAAAATCTTTCTAAATCTGTTTGTTGAAATTTTGATTTAATTTTAATGAAAATATATTTTATTACTCTGGATAATCAGCTTTGTGGTATATTTATTATATGAAATTCCTTTTTTATGAATTGTCTCTCATATTCTTTACTTATTCACCTATTGTATCAGTTTTTTCCTTGATGGCTTGTGTGAACTCTATGCAATAGTTATTAAATCTTTTTCCATTGCAAGCAGTTCTCCACTTTCTTTTAATAGTGTTTGTGATACTCTTGATATTTAGCTTTAACTTTTTATGTTCCCAGCATATAAACTGTATCCTTCATAATTTATCACAATTACTTTAAACTTAGAAAGTTTTTATTATACATTTTTAGCTTTTTATGGCTTGATCTGTTATATTTAAAAACTTAATTAATCTATAATGAATTTTGGCGTATGGTATAAAGGATCTTAATTCATGTTTTTCTATTAGTGACCATTTGTTCAAGAACATTGGTTGATTAATTTCTTATTCCCTCATTGTTTTCCACATTTTTTATTACATATTTCTTTTTATGAACTAGTTTCCATTTGGGGGCTATTCATTTTATCTACTCAATTTATCTATTTTGTGGAAATTCTGCACTGAATTATAATACATTTTATAAATATTTTAATCTCTCAGACACATCTTCTGTTATTACTCTAAAATTACTAAGAATTGTTTTATCTCTGGTTGTCTTTCACAAACTTGATAATTATTTTTGTTCAAATTAAGTTAAGATCTCCTTAAAGTTTTAATTAAAATTGTGTTACAAATTTAAAGTAGTTAGTTTGAAAAGAATTTTGCATTGTGTTTTGTAGTCTTATACAGAAATATTGCATAACTTTTAATTTATTTAAATATTTCTTCATTGCTTTCAGGAAATCTGCAGTTTATTTTATTTACATCCCATATATTTCTTATTCATTTTCTTACTAAGTGCCTCATATTTGAATATTAGTATGTATGTATGTGTGTATATAGTATCAGCATGTATGTATGTGTGAGTGTGTGTATGTATGTATGTATGTATTTAATTATACAGTCAACCCTCTGCATGGAACAGTTCTGCATCCAAAGATTTAACCAACTGAGGATAGAAAATATTTGGAAAAAATGGAGGGCTATGTCTGTACTGAACATGTACACACACTATTTTCTTGTCATTATTCCCTAAATCATATAGTATAACAACTATTTACATGGTCTTATATTGTATTAGGCATTATAAGTAATCTAGAGATTATTTAAAGCATACAGGAGAAGATGTGTAGGCAATGTACAAATACTACACCATTTTATACAAAGAAGTTGAGCATCCATGGATTTTGATATCTGAAGAAGGTTCTGGAACCAATCCGCCATGGCTACCCAGGGACCACTATACTTCCAATTATTTAAGACTGGTATTCTGAAAAGCTATGCAATTTTGTATGTTTATTTTGTTTTCAGCCACCTTATCGAATTTTCTTACTAACTTTATTAGTGTTTCTTTTGATCAGTTTGAATATTCTAGCTGTAAAAACATGTTATCTAGAAAAATAATTTTTGTTTATATTGCCATATTTAGACTTTTACTTCTTAAGTTCTATTTTTGATTAATTGGTTAAAACTTCCAAAGGCATTTCAAATTATAACAGTTTTATCAGAAATTCTTGTGTTTTTCCCTAATTTTATTAGTTTCATATTTAGTATGAACTTAGTCAAATTTTAGATCCCCCTTTTACATTTTTTATTAATATTAATATTTTTAAGCCAGTATTAAGGGTTTACTCAAAATAACCTAAAATATCAGAATTCTTCCTCATTTGATCAGTGATACTCTAAATATAATGTGAAGGTAACAAAAAGAAATATAGTATTTAAAAATGTCAATTATGTTCCTTTAAATTACTATTACTTTCATAAATTGATTTGTTATTTCTAATCACATCTATAATATAGCCAGTTAAATAATTAATGGATACATTAAATTAACAAAAATTTTATTTTCTCTTTGTATGCAGAGTTATGAGCATCTACTGTCCTACAACTCTTAAAACAGGTGCTTGGAAATGATAAGAATCGTGGTCTTTACCTTTAAGAATGTCACTTTGGCAAGTCACTTCACCTCTCTGCATAACTAAGTCATTGAATACTACATATGTCTTTAATTAAAGTGTATGTAGGATGCTAAGGTGGCAGTCAACATCTTTGTGAATTTGAGCAAGGTACATTATTTCTTAGTTTTCTTACCTCATTTATTTATAAAGGAGTCAAGATAGGTTACCTCTATGTATTACATCAGTCTCACACTGCTAATAAAGACCTACTCAAGACTGGGTAATTTAGAAAGGAAAGAGGTTTAATGGACTTGCAGTTCCACATAGCTGGGGAGGCCTCACAATCATGGCAAAGGTAAAGGAGAAGCAAAGGCACATCTTACACGGTGGCGGGCAAGAGAGCATGTGCAGGGGAACTCCCCTTTATAGAACCATCAGATCTTGTGAGATTTATTCACTATCATGAAAACAGCATGGGAAAGACCCACCCCCATGATTCAATTACCTCCCACCAGGTCCCTCCCACAACACGTGGGAATTATGGGAGCTACAATTCAAGATGAGATTTGGATGGGGACACAGCCAAATCATATCATTCTACAATCTTTTTCACTAAAACATCTGTACCTTTATAAAAATCTTCGTAAAAATAAAGCATATATTTGTGAGAATATATATAATAAAAAATTATGAGTCAATACACTATGGTAGACACATCAGTGATTTTGGCTCAGACTATACTATTATCAAAATTCTAGCATTACCTCTTACTATATGTATGGCAGTATATTAATTGTTTAAACTCTATGAGCTGGAGTTTTATTAATGTAAAACAGGAAATATTATTTGATAACTGTTATGGATGTGATGAGGACTAGATAACAGAAAGTATTGAAAGTATTGTACTCTGTGGGTACCATGTGGGGCTGTATCTGTTAAAAGTCCCAATAGGAAACAGATGGCACTTGAAAATAGGTTACTTCTAGGATGATTTATTTACAGAGGTACTAATTATCAAGGTGTAGGTGTCTAGTTACCACAATGGATATTTCAGTAATCTAGGCCTTTGTAGCAGCCAAATTATTATCACACCTAGGCCCAGGATAGTAAGGAAGGAAGCAGTTTGGGAGCTTGGAAGGATGCAGTCGTATATAATCCTGGCCTTGAGAGATAAAATGGTCATTAGTGGAGGGAAATAATCAGCCTAAGACAAACAGAAATAAACCTCATTCAGAATGGTATAGGGTGGGTTTACTGACTAATTAATCTCATCACATCTGGGCTTCAGAATTTTTGCTCTAATAGGACCTGTGTTGTCCAGGTATCTTCATAAAAATGTACTCAGAGAAGGTTCATTGCAGTACAATTTAATGAAGATAGCAGATTTATTTGTCCAGAGTAATTGGGTCTATAAATTAAAGAAAGATTATATATAATTTACAGTATAGTCAAATAAGTATAATATTGGTTCTGATATCACTTTCCAAATTCTCCTCACAGAAGACTTGTGATATTCATTTAGCAATGTGATATAGTCCAATTTGGATTCTGATCTTTCTGTCTCAAGTTTGTTTTGCCCAAATCTGTCTGAGCAAGCTTTATGCCTTGTAATACAAGGCTCTCAGTCTTTTCCTGTGTGTGTGTATTTTTTTTTCTTCTCCTTCAATGAGGAATCTTTAAATACTGAATCTTTATCAAATGATGTCTATAGAAAGCTGTGCTTCACTTCAATATGTTCTGGAAACTGCTGTCTGGGAGAGGATTCCAGCTGCTCTTTGCCCTTTGATTCTGAGAGATGTGTGTCTAATGGCAGCTGCTTTCTCTTCGTAGAATTAGCATTCTCTTTTTCACTTTGATGATACACGAGAAGTTTTCATCCCCTTGTGTTTAAAAGAGTTACTTCCTTCTTGGAGTCATAACTGGATCTGCTGTTGCAGGGAAACATGGATGCCATGATGCTTCTGTGGGCAGCCATAGCTCAAGGCACTGTTCTTTAATTACTTCCTGTGCTACCTGTCAGGAAATTAACAGAGGTGGATGATACAATGAAAAGAGTGCTGGGATAAAAATTTAAACCCTGGGCTATACAGTAGGTTTGTTCATTCTCTAGCCGTGCAATTTGGAAAAAATTATAATATGCAACTTTTTGATCCCCAGTTTTCTTTTTCCCTCATTTGAAGGAATGAAATAGTACAATGCTCTGCTTAACTCAGATGATTGTTATGAGGCACAAATGAGATAATATATATGATGGGATTTTCATACTATAAAGTGGAAGGGATTACTACTATGTGGAAAAAAATGCATATTCTTGAGCCTTTGGAAACAGCACAGTACGTTATGTAAATTAGTATTGAACTTGTGTTCATATTTTCCACTAGCCAAATGAAAACGACATTTATTTCTCATGGAAATCACAAGGGATATTAAACAATCTTGCTTTAGCATATTTAATATAATTCTAAGAATTAACAAGCAATATTTAGAGTAATCATATATACAAGACTGCACAAATCAAATCATAATCATGTTCATTTTACACGGATACATTTTCTAAGAGTACATTGTATCTTTGCTATTCATAACATACTTGAACAGATTTTAAGCCTCTTTCTATTTTTTCTTGAGCTGTCAAATTTCAAAAATTATTATATTGACTTTAAGGGAATTGTGTAACCTTCATTAAAGGCAATGACTATTATTAATACATTAATTCTGGAGTTAGTCTATACTGTTCAAATGAATCAGCCTACTGCATGTTTGTTTGGATCTTTAAAAGTTTACGTGAGTTACCAGGCACTGTGGTTCACACCTGTAATCCCAGCATTTTGGGAGGCTGAGGGGGGCGGATCACGAAGTCAGGAGATTGAGATTATCCTGGCTAACATGGTGAAACCCCGTCTCTACTAAAAATATAAAAAAATTAGCCGGGCGTGGTGGCGGAAGCCTGTAGTCCCAGCTACTCCGAAGGCTGAGGCAGGAGAATGGCGTGAACCCGGGAGGCGGAGCTTGCAGTGAGCCGACATCGCGCCACTGCACTCCAGCCTGGGCGACAGAGCGAGACTCCAACTCAAAAAAAAAAAAAAAAGTTTACGTACTTTCAGATGGTAATAAGTTCTATAATAATAACACTGGCATATAGGATCAGAAGTGGCTGGAGTAGAAAGGAAGAGAGATCTGCCATAAGTGAGATGGCCAATAAAGGTCTGTTTCAGAAGGTGACGTTTGACTTGAGGCCTGAATTATTACAAAGAGCCAGGCTTTTGAATAATTAGGGCAAGGAATTTGTAGGATTTAAGAGAAATATGAAAAGTTCTATCTGAGAAAATGAGCTTGGCAAAGTCTGTTTGGTTGAAGTGTAGTGAATGGTTAAGCAGACCGACTGAATCAAGCAGTAGATTGTAGGCTTACACAACGAGATTAGATATTTATTGTTGTTGTTATCCGCTACTTTGAAGTACTTAATGGTATTCCTTGAGTGCTTTCCAATAGTTTCTGCAATGAGAAACCATTGGAAAGATTTAATCCAAGGAGTAACATGACTTGATTTACATTTTTGAAAATTTGCCCTGACTAGCATGTAGAAAATGAGTCATGTGAAATCCAGTGATGGAAACTGGGTAACAGGTTAGGAGGCTATTCTAGTATTTCAGGCGAGAGAAGATGGTAATGATCAAGATGGTCAGTGTTCATGGAAATGGTCTGATCTGAGAAGTATGTGAGAAGTATATAACCCCTAGATTAAGCAGATGGATTTGATGTGGGGTATTATTAAAGAGATGAATTAATTTTGCCTTTTACATTTTGGGGTGATCATCAAGGTAATATCAAGTGTGAATGAGGACATCTAAAAGCAGAAGACGTTTTAGGGGTGGGGTAGATCTGAGGCTGCTGTTGAGTCAAGATTTCTGTTTTGAACTTGGTAATTTTGAAATGCCCATTGGGAACCCAAATAGAGATGCTAAGAGTTTGGTTATATTTTTCTAGAATATGGGTGATTTATCCTAGTGGAGAGACTATTAAGTTGGGTCAGTTAATCATTAGAAAGATAATTAACATCTTAAACAATTATCAAATATCTGCTAAAAGCCCTAGGTAATTTTAAAAATGCTTAAACTGTGAAGAGCTCTTTATTTCTCAAAATTTTAAAGTGAGAGAAGACTATCTCTTATATTATGACATGGAAGAGAAAATCAATATTTGAAATACCTCCCAAATGACTTGAAGTCCATACATAAATTTATATTTATTCTTATTTTCTAGTGATATATCTTATTTTCAATTCCTTTTAGTAAATGAAATTACTTTTGTGTTTTGCCTGCTGCTGCACAGAGGGAGCCTTTAAAGTCAGAGTACTTTATTACCATGTTTTAAAGAAGGATTCATTCAAAAAGGGAGAGGACAGATACATTTAAAATTATTTTTCTGCACTAAACCGTTAACAGATTTAAACCTGGTCAGTCTGTTTCTAAAAAAAAAAAAAATAAGTTTTATATTGTCAGCATAGGCAGCATATAAACTTAATATTAAACTTGTTGCAATTTTAAAAGTTGAAAAAACATTATATCCATTTTGTTCTTGTGAGTTTTATGTAATGAACTTGTAAGTTTACATCTTATTGTGGAAAGACAACATATTACAGTTAAATCAGACTTAATATGATTTAACATGCATATTAACACATTCTTAGTATGATATATTTCACTTTCCTCCTACATTACTTTCTTTATGTTTGTGAGAAAAAACAAAACAAAACAAAACAGGAGTTTGTTTGGCATTGAAGAGCAAAATGGCTAATTAGCACGCACAATGAAAGTTTTCATAGATTTTCTCCTTAGTGGGTTTTTTCTTTTGAGTCTTTCATTGTTGATAACATGCCATTAATCTTTTGTTTAGGATCTCTTACCTTAAAGCAGGCTTAAAGAAAAGCCTTTCATTTCTCTCTCTATATATGTATAGTAAATATATATAATTTTTTGCAGTAGATTCACTTCCCCTGTAAATATGCTTGATGAAAGAGTTCCTGGCAATCCTTAAAAGAACAGGCTGTGGGGATCCTCATTAATCTTCTAATAGTTTCTGCTGTCGTCCCTCTCGAAATTTCCTTGCCTTGTAAAGTATTTGTGGTAAAGCAAGAGCACTTTTGCTTTCCACCAAGCAATGTCATTCAGCCAGATCCCAACAAAAGCCGCAGCTTCCTTTCAAATAGTTTCAGCCTCAGCTGTATTATTGGCTGGGATTCTGAGCCGTGAAAGGGAGATGCTATTTGTTTAACTGTGTTTCACAATACAAACAAGCTGAGAAAATACAACTCTTCTGGTTTTCTTTTGTGTCTCTTGATAGTAATATGGTTTTACTCTTAGTGACTGCAAAGTTACTTTGGAAACAGATGTTAGACTTTTTTTTGTTTTTAAGTTTGTAAGCATTTTGTTAGATACTGTACCTTGATAACATAGCTATGTTTAGAGTTATAAAGAGAATATCTTACTGGTTTCATTAGCAATAACATGTCAACAGTCTGTAAAATGAGTTCCATATTAAGCCATAAATGTGAGTTGCTGTAAAATAAAAAGTAATAAAGTATTTAAAGAGAAAATAATTTCTGTTGAGATTTTAAAGTTTTTCCTGTTTACATTGTTAGTCAATAAATATCTTTAATTCAAAGGTTAAGTTTATAGGATAATCCTCCTTGAGAAGGGAAGGCATATCTAAGTGTTAACAAAAAGTTGATCTCAAAAGCTGAGAGGAAGTGTGCTATGCAGATCTTTACTGACAATGCTCTAAGACCACTAAAAGAAATGACAATATATAAAAAATAAAATAATAGGACTCATGTAGAAATATGTATCAGTTTCTTTATATAGTCTCTATATGCTTGGGAAAGCTGCAGATGATAATTCTTTCTAGTATTATTTAATTAGAAAGAAGAGCAACTTGAAACAGATTATCATTTTCTCAACTAAAAAAAAGTCTATTCATTTGAGCAAAACTGCCACCTAAGAACCGTGGTACTGCAGAAAGGATGATTTATATATTTAGATGTATTCCTTCATAAAATTTTGCATTTCTACTTTTTAAAATTTGTGATTCAAGGGCCCAGTATAGAAGCATTTATAGGGCAACCATCCTATAAAAAAGAAAGGGGTAAAATGTATATACATTTATATAAAACAGCCAGCTAATACATATTAGTATCAATTATTTCTAAGAGAGAACAAAGACATTAGAACTTATAGGCAAATTTCATTCCAATAATTGATACTTGGTTTTAAGACTCTTGTAGTACACACTCAGTTGTGGTACTCAAAGTGTGGTCTTGCAACTAGCAGTATCAGCATCACCTGGGAACTTGGAGCTGCAAATTCATCAGCCTTATTTGAGGCCTACTGAATCAGAAACTCTGGGAGTAGGTTCCCCAGTAAGGATTATTAACAACCATCCAGGATTTCTGATATACACTAACATTTGAGAACCACTGCTTTATGCACTATACAATGTTAACAAGAACTAATTATAAGCCTAAGTCAGTGCAATCTTCCTAAATTTTAAATCCATAGGAGGTGCAAGCCAATCCTTGGTTACATGATAAAATAAAGGTAAAGGTCTCTTGTTTCATTATCAATCTTGTATTTCTCAAGCAAGTATGACATTTTGTAAGCTACTTGAAGAAAATATTTACTGTTCAAACACAAAATGTTATTTTTAAATCTCTCTAAAAGGATATGTGACTCAGGAACACAGATATTCACTCTTTCAGGATCACTGTAGCAGTGTCTATGTGGAATTTCAGTGCAGAATCAGATCTGGATTATTGTTTTTGCATATATGTCTAGCTATTCCCCAGTCTTGCCAAGCAAAGTAAAATGTTCATAGACAAGCAAAGTGCTTATAGCAAGATATTACTACTATAAAGATGCATCAGCCTCCCCAAACCTCCACACTGTTTATTATTCTAGTAAAATAACTATGACAGAAGAAGCAGAATATCAAATTTTAAAGACAATTTTATGGTGATTTTTTGGTCGGAATACAGTGGGAGTGCATTGAGTCAGTGGTATACTTGGAGAAGATTTTCATAAGCCCATCTATATTTCTAGATGGCAGAGTATACTGTAATCTAGTAATAAATATGTTAGAAGATCAACCAATTTATTTTACTCTGTAGATGTACCTTTAAACATGTCCTATTCTATTCACGATTAAATGTTAGTATTAATCGCCATCTAACAGAGTATGTTATTTATGAACTTTAGGAACTCAGGCAAAATACTTAATTTCTTTGTGTTTTTGTTTTCTCTTATATGAATTGGGAATAAATTTATACCTCAAAATTTATTTTCTAAAGTTGGGGATATCTTGATCAAAAAATGGCATTGAAAAATATACAGTATTTAAAATAGTGCTTGGCACATAACAACTACTCACTTAATATTAGCTATTGCTATTACAGGTTGAGTATCCTTTATCCTAAATGCTTGGGACCAGAAGGGTTTTGGATTTTGAATTTTTGTCAGATTTGGGAACATTTGTATACAAAATAAAATATTTTGGGGATGGGACCCAAGTCTAAACACAAAATACATTTATTCTTCATATAAACCTTATAAACATAGCCTAAAGGTAATTTTATACATTTTAAATAATTTTGTGTACCTGTTACATGAGGTAGGGTGTGAAAATTTTTATTTGTGGCATCCTGTTGCTGTTCATAAGGCTTCAGATTTTGTAGCATTCTGAATTTAAAATTTTCAGATTAGAGATACTCAACCTGTATTATTTTCATCTTACCAGCTCATAATTTTTGGAATAGGGAACTTTAGAAAGTATCCTATTGTGGTTGATATTGAGTGATGTAAAAGCACTTTTTAAACATTAGGGAATAGGCTTTTATCAAAAAAGATTTGATATTAAAAATCATTTATAGATTATAAATTTTTTATTGGCATTTGCATCCCCGGATATAAATTTACTTTGTTTTCTACCTAAAGTTACCTCATACGTAATGAAACAGAGCTAGGAATAGCAATAGTTAAAGGAATACTGCACCAAATAGTCATTTCTCAAGAGATGCAATTCACACACCTACTGTACATTTTTGGAATGTGCTTTAGGTCACTCTTTGAAAGTAGTATAATAAAGTGCACATCAGGAATGGGAATGAGTCCATTCTCACCATCTGTTCCTAATTTTTTTTAGCTGAAGACTCTGTATTATTAAACCACTGTGTAAAATGTTAAAATGCCATTAGAAACCTGAGTTAAATCCAGACGAGTTCAGAGAACTTGAGGTTACTTGAAAAGATATTGATAGCTGCATTACAATGATGGATAAAATAAAGCTGGCCCTTATTCTCAGCTAACCATGAACTTCATTTTTCAAACTTCACACAAGTTCAAAGTTCTTCCAAATATATTGTTAGCCAAATTGCATATATATTTTATTTTTATATAAGAATTTAAAGTTTTGTACCTGCTTACTTTAGCCTAATTTTAGCAAATAAGAATTTTAATATATCCTCTATCCCCCAAATTATAAAATTTTAATAGTTCATTCAATTGCATGAGATAATTTAGGTGACTCTTTCAAGACCTCACAATTTCAGACTATTTTCTCAACAAATGTAAGAGAGTTGACTTACTTTCCCCAGGGAGTGTAGAATACAGTGTCTATATTACTTTTTTGTGGCATTCTTGGAAACTCCAAGAACCTCCTAAAAAAACTGTCTGTGTTAAGATTGGTTCCTAGGCACACACAGGTTTCAATGGGATTTGAAAAGATGCAAAAGTCTGCTTGTCTCCAAAATATATCCATCTTTACTCCTGCCAATGTACTAGAAATTCGCCCATCAATCACTGTTCTATATTGGGATTAAATATGACTAAGATGCATATGTACTCTGGCTTAGGTACAGTCAACATTTATTCAGCCTTTATAGTGAGACAGGAACTGTATAGTAAGCATGTCCACATGAACGTAAATGCTTCACTATATATAGGGACTTCACTATCTTAGCCTCAATCAAGTGAGTCAATTGGGCATTCAGCTATGTGGAGGAGTTGCTTCTCATTTTCTTAAGAGATAAATGCCCAGTTAATTAATCATAAGATGTTCCTGGAAACATTTTACTGTCTGATTGGGTGGCAACAGTAGGTCTTAAAAAACCTTCCCTGGGAGCCTAAGCGAATTACTTGATTCCATCCTTTTATGAGCACACGTCACATTGGTTCCTAAAGAATGTGAGTGTCTTGGCTCTTTTTGACTAGGGTTATGCTTCTTTCCTGTTTTAGTTCAATTCATTTCACATGAACTAAACCCTGAATACCTGTCCACTCATAAACTCTCTCAATTTTACAATGTATCTCCTGGAATGGCAGGAAGGTCTCTGTCTCTGCTTTGCACTGATGTTCCTGCACTGCTACCATATTCTTGTCAGGGAAGAATAATTTGTTCGTATACCTTCTCCTCTTCGGTTTTAGGTGCTTGGCTTGGAAGTGGCCTAATTATCTATGCTCTTTTTCAGCAATGTCCTTCATGTGCTGTGACCTGTATTCTGTACCATCTTGCTTTCCTACTTTTTCTGATTACACTTCCACCCTGCCTCAATACCTCCTTTTGCCCTATCACCACATTACGGCCAATATACTTTTGACCCCCAAGCTGAAATCAAACACGGAACATGTATACTCCTATACCAATGAATGTGGGGGTCTTCCCTTTTCTGCTGGTAGAGTGTTTTTGTATTTTTTTCATTTTTCTCCATTTATCTGCAATCTCTTGTCTCAGTACAGGGTTGTCTTCTCCCTATCTCACCCCATACACATCACACTATTCACCCAGTTTTTTATTCTGCCTTAGTATGCGTCTAGGGTAAGGATAATAAAAATTAAAGTAATGGCAGTAATAAAGACTAACATTATTGAGTTCTTAACGTGCAATGAATTGTTTATAGTGTTTTGCATTTATTATCATGTTTAATTTTCACAACAACCCTATGAAATTGGTAACATAATTACCCTTATCATGAGGAAACTGAATCAAAATTTGTTTGGCAAGATGAATGTTTCTCTGGGCAAGAGCAATGAAATAGAAGAAGAAGAAATGATTCTAAAGCTGATTTTTCAGTAACCTTCTGCTACTACTTCTACAGCTGTTATGTTCCCAACTTTACCTCCCTTCACTGACCCCTAGCCCTAGCAGTGAAGAAATGCTCAAATATTCTCAGAATGATTTTCTTCTCAAAAGTGAATGGAATTTATTTCTATTATTTGTATACCCAAATCCATTAGCCTTTATGGAGGAGTATTTTTTAAAATTTTTCACAGAGTATGGTAAAGAGGTTATTCTTTTTTTTCCTTCATTAATAGTAATAACATTGTAATAAAACATTCAAAATGTTGTATATTTGCTTGAGGAATACAGTGAAGGGGGAATATAGGAAATTATTTTCTATCCCGTTGTGAATCAGAGGGTATAGAAGCTTTGACTGCGAAAATTGTTACAGAAAATAGTGCTTGCCAGGTAAATACCTAGAATTCTTCAAAAATACAGAAAGGGCCGGGCGTGATGGCTCACACCTCTAATCCTAGCACTTTGGGAGGCCGAGGCGGGCGGATCACGAGGTCAGGAGATCGAGAGCATCCTGGCTTACACAGTGAAACCTCCGCCTCTACTAAAAATACAAAAAATTAGCCGGGCGTGGTGGCGGGCTCCTGTAGTCCCAGCTACTTGGGAAGCTGAGGAAGGAGAATGGCGAGAACCCGGGAGGCGGAGCTTGCAGTGAGTCGAGATGGCGCCACTGCACTCCAGCCTGGGTGACAGGGCGAGACTCTGTCTCAAAAAATGAAATAAATAAGTAAATAAATAATAAAATGAAAGAAAGATATATATAGAGAGAGATCATGAAAAGACATTTAAGTTTGACAACTATTCCCAAGGAAGTACACTAACGAGAGATGTGACCACTGTGTCAGTCCCTCAGTACCCAAACCTGCTTGAAACAAATTGTGAGAACTGGGGCTAGTGACTCAGTCTGCTGTGGCTGAAAAGCTGTTTGGGGAGACTTTTATTCGAAATTTTTTTCACTTTATTTCTGCACATTTTTCCCCACAGACAAAAAATTACACCAGTTTATCAGTTCCCATGGTATCTCTATGGCTTACTAGTACATAACTATTTTCCAGGCAGGGGTAGCTAGCATTTATTAAGCTCTCACTCTATATGCCCTGTACAAGCCTATGCTCGCTCTTAATGTATCAGTAGCTCTTCATTTTTTTTTTTTGTCAGCATAGTTGTGAACACTAGAACTTTTGACAGCACACTTGAAATGATTAAAAGACTCCAAAGAACACTAAACAGGTTAGCAACAATTACAATGTAATCATTACCACAGTATAACAATGTCTCACAATGTCTATAAAAGGATTTACTGTTCTCTAGCCCAGGCTTCCGTTGGACTTGGACTGTGTACTGCCCATCTAAACAAGTACTGCTATATACTCACCAGGGAGAGCTCTCACACGTCACACTTAACCTGAGCTTGTTCCCTGTCACCCGCTGAACACTAAACTCTAATTAACTATTCCAAAGAGCATCTTGTACCTAGCTCTGTGCCATAATGAAGGACTCTCTCAGCTCAGTGTTCACTCAATAGACACTGTTTAACATTGTGTATACTCCGTCTTAGTAAAAATTACATTGGATACATTGATCAAAACGTACCAGTGCATTAGAGCCTCAAAGTACATTTTGTACCAATGGTAGACACAGAGGCTGTACAAATTTGGAAGGGTAGAGAAGGAGTCATTGAAAACAACAGAAGGTGTGGCCTTGGATCTGGGCCATAATGAAAGAGTAGGATTTTACCAAGTGAGGGAAAGGAGGAAAGACATCCTACTAAAAGAAGCAGCTTTGACAAAGGGCCAGAGGAGATAATATACATGCATTATTTGGAATTCCTGAGTGGATTGTTGTTGGATGGACCTGTGAGGGTAAGAAGAAATGAGACTGAAAGGGTAGGCAACAGATAGATCATAAATACTGACAATATAATTTGTTGAAACTGGAACACTTTGAGAGTCAAGGGGTACACTGTAAATAATTACACTGAAGCAGTATGTTTAAATTGGTACTTTCCTGAACAAAATAGGATATGCAGTCGCCCTAGCCATAAAGGGCCCTGAATGCTATGCTGAGGAACTAAATGAGATACATAGTCATAGTCACATTTTAAAGAAAGGTTACTGTGGCAATAGAGTGGAAAATGGATCAGCAAAGAATTGGGAACAACAGACTTCTTAAAAGCAATTCAGGCAATTCAATAAAATAGGTGAGTACTCAGGACTTTTCATTTTTCTCACCCCATGTCTTTGAAGTATCATATCATTTACCAAGCCTTCCTTCATCTCCTTGCTTGAATCTTTGCAGGGGCCTCCACTTAGAACCCTCTTCTTCGCTCAAGTTCTGAACCAGCAAAAGAAACAAACAAACAAACAAGAACATAAATAAGCAAACGAGAGCCCAAATATCACCTTTATCACTGATAAATGGTATGTTGAAGATTATGACACATGTGCTTCTTAACATCATATCCCAAACCATAGGCATCTCTGGGCTGGAGCAAGATCTCTCTATACCTTGGGGCAAAACCTTATCTTGGGAGAGCAGGCCCATTTATCAAAAGGGAAGAAGGGAAATGCTGAGCTCAAATTTTCCAATGAAAAAAGGTCTTCGATGGAACCAACCTAAATGCCCATCAATAATAGACTAGATAAAGAAAACCTTGTACATATACACCATGGAATGCTATGCAGCCATAAAAAAAATGAGATCATGTCCTTTGCAGCGACATGGACGGAGCTGAAGGCTATTATCCTTAGCAAATTAACGCAGGAACAGAAAACCAAATACTGCATGACCTCACCTATAACTGTGAGCTAAATGATGAGAACACATGAACACAGAGAGAGGAACAACACACATTGGAACTTATCAGAGGGTGGAGGGTGGGAGGAGTGAAAGGATCAGGAAAAATAAATAATGGGTACTAGGCTTAATACCTGGATGATGAAATAATCTGTACAACAAACCTCCATGATGCAAATTTACCTATGTAACAAACTTGCACATATACTGCTGAAGTTAAAAGAGAAAAAAAAAAAAAAGGTCTTCCATTTTCCTTGAATGGTTGTGGTAAAGGGGCAGAGAGGATAGGGTGTTCCACTAATTTATTTACTGTTACATGGAAGGAAATATTGGGAGTAGAGAAAAACTGTTACCTCTCAATACCTTTATGCTTGAAAAGTTCTTTCTGAACTCTTTTATGATATACTGTCAATTACATTACTAGACATTGTGATATACATATATATGTATGTGTGTGTGTATATATATACACACATATATAAAACCTGATATATGTATTTCACACCTGTTTCTATAGTGATTTCTACTATATTTTATATACTTGTTTATATGTTAATATGTTATCTTACCCCAAATAAAGTAGAAGTTCTCTTACTCAGACTCTACTGAACGTAACAGACCCTCAGAGTCCCTCTGCAAATGACACTAAATGCTGCCCAAGTCATAGCACAGATTCATTACAGGTAGTCTAGTGTACCAGTGCACTTCTGTTCCCACTGAAGATTCATATGCTTAATAAGAGCCAGTTGAATTTTTTATTAAACCTGCTTATAACAATTGTAATTACAAAATATAATTCCATAATACAAAGATAATGAAATATAAATGTGAAAAGAGTTGGGTCTATGAAAACTAAGTTAAATACTTTGAAAAGACTCAATAGCTAATCACCAAAAATTTCCATAGTTTTATGTACAAATGATAATAACAAATTTAAAAAGAAAAAAATTTAGAAAGATTTTGCACTCAGATATTTAGAAAAGTGTTTTAAGTTTTCACTCTGCTTCAGAAAAAGGGTAGAATTTACAAATAATATATTGTCCAGTCAGTAGAGCTGAATTTTTTTAAAATTTCTTACATCAAAAGGTGGGTGAATAAATGTTCATTTATATATTTTAAGTCAAAATAAAATATGTAATCTATATATTATCATCATTTAGAATCCTTATCAGCAGTTGAGTAACAGTAGATTTGAAAAACCAGAAGGAATCGTAGAAAATGTAAGTGTGAGTAAAGAATCTTCTTAAGTTAAATATGGATATAGACATACCTGAGCATTGTTATAATATGAAAAATGCTATTATATTCTATAACTTCCTTTAAAAATACTTCGTTAAGATTTTAGTTTCTTAAAATTGTTCTTTGATAACTCATTTAAAGGAGAAGCAAGGAACTACTTAAGATGATGTGATCATAGTTAGAAGAAGAGTAAAAATAAAGATGCAGGTTTTTTATATATGAAGAGCATATGCATGTGTATATGTTGTGTGCATGTACATGTAAAAACACACATATTATAAATAAGTGTTGAAATTAAATAAGCCAGAGGACCAAAATAATTGTATTTGAGTGGATTTCTTCCACTCAAATGGAAGTAGATTCCAGTGATTTTTTCTTTCTTCTATTTGGCACATTTTTTTTGGTATTGGTTTATATTACTTTTATATTTTAAAAATTATGTAAACATTTTTTATTATCTTTGCTAGAAAAAAATGCCAACTTAGGCTATTTCCTCACATAAGAGCAAACTTTATAGCTTGAGCCTGTCAGAATAACTTTTGACATTAAGGACTAAGATTAACCAGTGTTCCTGTTTGTGATCCATTATGTCCCTCTGCTCATTATAGATATTACACTATGTTCCATGTTTGTGGAGCACTCCTAGATGGTATTTCTGTTCTGGTTCTGTCACTAACCAACCCTGTGGCCGCATAGTTTATAGAGTTCCCATTGTTCATTTATAGAATTATGGAAGTAGGCTAGATTATCTAAGACCTAGTCCAATGTCAACATTATGTAACTATATTATTTGACAATGCTTACTATGGATTTCAACTAGTATCAGCATGTTTCTCTAGAATATTCATCATAGATAATTGTTAATCTTCAATTTTAACGTCTCTGGTGAGAGTAAAATTGGAATTTACTCATAATATTTATTGTGTGTTTAAATTCTCCTAAGATTATTAATGAAAAACTTTGTAATAGAAAAAAAGTTCCTTCTTACTTTGGGCTTCTGAAATATGAGGACACATATTTTACATTGTGATAGTCCTTTCTGTTGACTGGAGCTATAAAAATTCACTGAGTTTTTCTACCTCATAATAATGATAAGATATTAAAAACTGTTAAGGTATATTTTCTTCCCCGCAACTCTTCCCTTATCTGGGAAATTGTTTTTTAGATTCTACCACTCTTCTCTGGGTACTTACTGGCTAAGTTTTCATTGTCTGTTGTAAACTATATCACACAGAATGGAGTAAAAATTCAGAAATATTTATTTCTTGTCGGAGTGCAGTTGACTCTTAGAGTGAATACTTATAATAGACATCAACTTGGGGTTTTTCAGCCTCTAGGGCCATGGCTCTATTTCTAGTTTTATTAGATGTTTCAATCAGATCTTTCCTTCTGGAATCTGAAACTTCACAGAATGTTACGAGTCACTGCATCTGAATCACTCTGATAGCAAAAACCTAGAGAAAGGTTCCCAAATTTCTGTATTTGAATCGTGAGACCTTGTCAGTTCAGAACTCCTTTTGATTCTGGATACTACGCATACGTTCTTCCTTTAAATTCTCCTACTTCTTTTTTCTCTTGAGTGAGGTTTGAGCCTTATGGTTTATGCTTTATATAGAACCACAAAAAGGAAGACTGAGCAGGAAAATATCAGAGAAGTAAGAGGGGAAAGGTATAAATGTTATATCATGAAAGCAAGTTGAGAGAAAATTTTTAGTAGAAAAGAAATGGTCAACAATGGAAATATTGTCAAGGAGAATGTGAAAAACCAGGGAAGGTGTGCTGAGTTTGGCAATTAGATCATTGTTGAACCGTGAAAATGAAGGTTCAAGGAACAAAGGTATACTGTACCAATTTAAAGAGCAAATTGAATAAAGAGGAAATAAAGACATTTAAGATATCTGATGTAAAATAAATACCATTTTAGTTCAATGTGTTAACAAGTCAAGGTATAGCTATTCTACTCACTAAGTTGCAGATAAATGGCCAAGCTTAAGAAAATTGAAGTGGAAAAATGTTATGAGATATTCAATAAATAAAGACTTTAATAGCTCAAAGATCATGGAATTTATAACTCAACAATAAACCTTTGCTGGAAAAGAATAAGTGAATAAGAAGTAAGGGATGATGGAACTTATCAGTTATTTTGAGTTGATGAAGGAGGTAGAAATGGAAGCTACTATCATGAGTCTGTTAGTACCTTCATTAGAACTCAGATCTTGCTGCATAATTTGGGTGGCCAAATGCAAAACAAAAAATGAGGGGCCCAAGATTCAAAAATTAAAACAGTTATAAATATATCATATCATGTTCAGGGAAACATTATTTAGAACATAAGGCTAAAAACTGAAGAATGATTAAACACCTTATATTCACAAATTTATGTTTTGTTTGTTTATGATAATCGTTTCATCTTAATCCCCTTTTTGTGATAGTATATATTTATGATAATGACTTTATCTTAATATTCTTTTCATCATAGTATATATTTCAGGTATAATATCATGCTTTAATATTTTTATTTGCAAATCTGTGTAGTTCAGGACAATGGCAGTTGCCTAGGTTTACATCTCCCAACATTTTATCAAAAACCAAAATGGAACAACAGAATAAAAACAAAAGACACAGATGGGCAAATTGGATAAAGAGTCAAGACCCATCGTTGTGCTGTATCTCGCATGCAAAGACACACATAGGCTCAAAATAAAGGGATGGAGGAATATTTACCAAGCAAATGGAAAACAAAACAAAACAAAAAGCAGGGGTTGCAATCCTAGTCTCTAATAAAACAGACTTTAAGCATACAAAGATCAAAAGAGACAAAGAAAGGCATTACATAATGGTAAAGGGATCAATGTGACAAGAAGAGCTAACTATCCTAAATATATATGCACCCAATACAAGAGCATCCAGATTCATAAAGCAAGTTCTTAGAGACATACAAAGAGATTAGGAACTCCCACACAATAATAGTGGGAGACTTTAACACCCCACTGTCAATATTAGACAGATCAATGAGACAGAAATTAACAAGGATATCCAGGACTTGAACTCGGCTGTGAACCAAGAGGACCTAATAGACATCTACAGAACTCTTGACCCCAAATCAACAGAATATACATTCTTCTCAGCACCACATTGCACTGATTCTAAAACTGACCACATAATCGAATGTAAAACACTCCTCAGCAAATGCAGTAGAACGGAAATCATAACAAACAGTCTCTCAGACCACAGTGCAATCAAATTGGAACTCAGGTTTAAGAAACTCACTCAAAACCACACAACTACATGGAAACTGAACAACCTGCTTCTGAATGACTTCTGGGTAAATATCAAAATGAAGGCAGAAATAAAGATGCTCTTTGAAACCAATGAGAACAAAGACACAACGTACCGGAATCTTTGAGACACATTTACAGCAGTGTGTAGAGGGAAATTCATAGCACTAAATGCCCACAAGAGAAAGCAGGGAAGATCTAAAATCAACATCCTAACACCACAATTAAAAGAACTAGAGAAGCAAGAGCAAACAAATTCAAAAGCTAGCAGAAGACAAGAAATAACTAAGATCAGAACAGAACTGAAGGAGAGAGAGACACGAAAATTCCTTCAAAAAATCAATGAATCCAGAAGCTGGTTTTTTGAAAAGATCAACAAAATAGATAGACTACTAACCAAAATAATAAAGAAGAAAGGAGAAGAATCAAATAGATGCAATGAAAAATGATAAAGGGGCTATCACCACAGATCCCACAGGAATACAAACCATCATCAGAGAATACTATAAACACCTCTACAAAAATAACCTAGAAAATCCAGAAGAAATGGTTACATTCCTGAATATATACATATTCCCAAGACTAAACCAGGAAGAAGTCGAATCCTGAATAAACCAATAACAAGTTCTGAAATTGAGGCAGCAATTAATAGTCTACCACTCAAAAAAAATCCAGGACCAGACAGATTCACAGATGAATTCTGCCAGAGGTACAAAGAAGAGCTGGTACCATTCCTTCTGAAACTATTCCAAACAATAGAAATAGAGGGAATCCTCCCAAACTCATTTTATGAGGCCAGCATCATCCTGATACCAAAGTCTGGCAGAGACACAACAAGAGAAAAATTTCAGGCCAATATCCCTGATGAACACAATGCGAAAATCCTCAATAAAATACTGGCAAACTGAATCCAGCAGTACATCAAAAAGCTTATCCACCACAATCAAGTTGGCTTTATTCCTGGGATGCAAGGCTGGTTCAACATATGCAAATCAATAATGTAATTCATCACATAAACAGAAACAATGACAAAAACTACATGATTATCTCAATAGATGCAGAAAAGTCCTTGACAAAATTCAACAGCGCTTCATGCTAAAAACTCTCAATAAAGTAGGCATTGATGGAACGTATCTCAAAATAATAAGAGCTATTTATGACAAACCCACAGCCAATATCATACTGAATGGGCAAAAACTGGAAGAATTCTGTTTGAAAAACAGCACAAGACAAGGTTGCCCTCTCTCACCACTCCCATTCAACATAGTATTGCAAGTTCTGGCCAGAGCAATCAGGCAAGAGAAAGAAATAAAGGGTATTCAAGTAGGAAAAGAGGAAGTCAAATTGTCTCTGTTTGCAGATGACATGATTGTATATTTAGAAAACTCCATTGTCTTAGCCCAAAATCTCCTTAAGCTGATAAGCAAATTGAGCAAAGTCTTAGGATACAAAATCAATGTGCAAAAATCACAAACATTTTTATACACCAATAACAGACAGCCAAATCATGAGTAAAATCCCATTCACAATTGCTACTAAGAGAAAAAAATATCTAGGAATACAACTTGCAAGGATCTGAAGGACCTCTTCAAGGAGAACTACAAACCACTGCTCAAGGAAATAAGAGAGGACATAAACAAATGGAAAAACATTCCATGCTCATGGATAGAAAGAATCAATGTCGTCAAAATGTTCATACTGCCCAAAGTAATTTATAGATTTAATGCTATCCCGATCAAGCTACCATTGACTTTCTTCACAGAATTGGAAAAAAACTACTTTAAATTTCATGTGGAACCAAAAAAGAGGCCACATAGCCAAGACAATCCTAAGCAGAAAAAACAAAGTAGGAGGCATCACACTACATGACTTCAAACTATACTACAAGGCTACAGTAACCAAAACAGCATGGTACTGGTACCAAAACAGATATATAGACCAGTGGAACAGAACAGAGGCCTCAGAAATAATGCCACACTTCTACAACCATCTGATCTTTGACAAACCTGACAAAAACAAGCAATGGGGAAAGGATTCCCTATTTAATAAATGGTGTTGGGAAAACGGGCTAGCTATAGGCAGACAGCTGAAACTGGATCCCTTCCTTACAGTTTATACAAAAATTAACTCAAGATGGATTAAAAACTTAAATATGAGACATAAAAGCCATAAAAACCCTAAAAGAAAACTTAGACAATACCATTCAGGACATTGGCATGGGCAAAGACTTCATGACTAAAACACCAAAAGCAATGGCAACAAAAGCCAAAATCGACAAATGGGATCTGATTAAAGAGCTTCTGCACAGCAAAAGAAACTGTCGTTAGAGTGAACAGGCAACCTTAAGAATGGGAGAAAAATTTTGCAATCTATCCATCTGACAAAGGGCGAATATCCAGCATCTACAAAGAACTTAAATAGATTTACAAGAAAGAAACAAACAACCCCATCAAAAAGTGGATATAAACATACATTTCTCAAAAGAAGAGTTTTATGCAGCCAACAAACATATGATAAAAAGCTCAACATCACTGGTCATTAGAGGAATGCAAATCAAAACCAAAATGAGATACCATCTCATGCAAGTTAGAATGGTTGTCATTAAAAAGTCAAGAAACAATAGATGCTGGAGAGGATGTGGAGAAATAGGAACACTTTTACACTGTTGGTGGGAGTGTAAATTAGTTCAACCACTGTGGAAGACAATGTGGCAATTCCTCAAGGATCCAGAACTAGAAATACCATTTGACCCAGCAATCCCATTACCGAGTATATACCCAAAGTATTATGAATAATTCTACTACAAAGACACATGCACATGTATGTTTATTGCAGCATTGTTCACAATAGCAAAGACTTGGAACCAACCCAAATGCCCATAAATGATAGTGGATAAAGAAAATGTGGCACATATACACCATGGAATACTATGCAGCCATAAAAAAGGATGAGTTCGTATCCTTTGCAGGGACATGGATGACACTGGAAACCATCATTCTCAGCAAACTAATGCAAGAACAGAAAACCAAACACCACGTGTTCTCACTCATAAGTGGGAGTTGAACAATGAGAACACATGGACACAGGGAGGTCTGTCAGGGGTTCGGGGGTTATGGGAAGGATAGCATTAGGAGAAATACCTAATGTAGATGACGGGTTGATGGGTGCCACAAACCACCATGGCGCATGTATACCTATGTAACAAACATGCATGTTCTGCACATGTACCCCAGAACTTGATGTTTAATAATAAAAAAAACACAAAACAAACCCCTTAGTATAACTTAAAGACAGAGGTTGCTAAATGTTAAAGTAAATGTAAGAAAAAAAGGCAAACCATCTAATCCCAGCAAGTGATTACTCCAGGAGTTGCCCTGATGCACATCTTTGTGTGAGTAAGGGTAGGTAGAGAAAAACTGTGAGGAAGAGAGAAGAGAGAAATACCAATAACCTGAGGTTGAGATAAAACTATTACCAGAATATGTAATTTCACTCTTACTGTGAAATTATTATAAAATAAACTTTTGACGGATAAGAGTGTGGACTACAAGAATGTAACTTAAAATTGTACATTATTTGAAGTGGCAGATTTTGAAAGGCTTAGCTTCTGGGTCAGAAAAAGGTAAAAAAGAACGAAGAAGAAAATTTTGGAAATTCTGTGCTGAAGAGGGAAAATACACAAAAGAGAAAATTCAAGGCCATACAAGGTATTAGAAAAAATACCAGAGGCACACTACTCAACCTTTTGTCCTAGCGTAGAGTAAAGCCCATTGAAGAATCTAGACTTTGAAACACTGAGAAAAGCTTTCATTGAATTCAGAATTATATTATTCATTCCAAACCACAGAAATAAAAACATAAAATTTCAATAAGTGTATACAGAGATATTGTAAAGAATAATAGATTTAAAACACTGAAAGTCACCCCTTTACTTTCTCACTCTTTGTAAAAATACACAGAAGGAAACATTTGAAAGTAAAATATAATCAGACAAGCATTGGAGTTATCAAGAAGCAGTTTGAATCAGAAATTTAAAAACTAAGACCAGAAATGGACAAATAATAGGATGAAAGAAAAATACAATTGGTTGTACTCAGGAAAGGAATAGAAGAAAGAGACAAAATTATCTTTGAGATAACGAAAAAAATATTAGATGCAAAATAAAATGAAAATTTAATAGAGGAACTGAAGAAAGGGGTAACAACCAATAAGATAAAAAATGGGATAAGAACAGAAGTAAAAAGAGTAAGAACAATGACATTTATGTAATTGATGTCCCTGAAAGGGTTAACAATGAAATGTAACTAATATTTAAACTATAATCTAAGACAAAAACTTTCCAGATAAAGTAAGAGTTGAATGTATATATTAAAGGGTCCCGTTAGGTGCCTGGAAAAATTAACACAGAATGGTCAACTTTAAGAAATGTCACAGTAAAATGATTAGACTTCAAAGATAAAGAAAATATCCTCAAGATCTCCAGGTAAAAAGATCATATAAATTATAAGTCAATAGAATTTGACAAGCATCAGACTTTTTAAAAACAACATAAGCAAGACAAAAATTGAGCAGATTTTCAAACAACTCAGTGAAAAAAAGTTAATTAAGGATTATATCCAGCCAAACTGTCCTTCAATTATCAAAGCTATATAAAAACAGTTTTGAACGTGCAATAACTTAGGGATTTTGTACCCATAATCTTTTCTTGAAGAATATACTACAGGATAATCTTCACTCAGCTGATGTATCGCTGGCAATGCTTTAGCAAAAAGACTGACGGTAAATATTTTAATATATGTAATTCTAGATCTAAAACAAAAGTAGAATGAGTGGACTACTAATGCACATTGATGGATGTTGTGAAAAACTCAAAATTAATGCTCTATAAAAGGAAAAACAAGAAAAGAAGAAAGTAGATTAAGGTAAATTAAGAGGTTAAAGAAAGTGCATGTATAAAGGTCTAACTAAAAAAGATAATCACTAGAATAAAAATACAAATCTTCTTGCATACAAACATAAGGTTTTTAAAAAGCAAAAGTACACATTTTAATAAAAACACTGCAAATAAGATAAAATGTACGTAATTATTAAATATTACGGAGTTGAAACCAGCTGTCTCAGTCATGTCAATAAATGTGAATGGGCTTATCTATTAAAAGAAAGTATTTTTATTTTGCATCCCCAAATCATAATTCAGCTATATGATATATAGAAGACACACATCTAAAACAGGGGATTTAGAAATTATGAAAGTATAGGAATGCACCAAACGGTATCAGTCAAGTGCAAATTATAGAATAAACTCCAGATGGAAGATACAAAAGTATAAAAATAAAACCATACAAGTAGTAGAAATAAATAAGTACTAGAAGAAAACTAGAATTCATTGAATGAGTTTCTCTTTAACTTGATGGACGGAAAGTCTTTCTAATCATGAATCAAAATCCAGAGGTGATTTTTAAAAGGTTGATACATTTAACTACAGAAAAATGAGGAAAGAAAAAAGTATGGTGAAAACACTATAAACAAAGTCAAAAGACAATTGACAAACTGTACGAAAATATTTGCAGAATATATCATAGACAACAGAAAAATAGCCCTAATACATAAAGAACTCTTAAAAATTAGAGTCATAGTTCAGTGCATTTACCCAAAAGCTTTGGAGTCAGTATGTCTGAGAGATTTCTGCACTCTGGTATTCATTGCAGCACTCTTCCCAATAGCCAAGTTATGAGAGCAACCTGTGTCCGTCCAGGGACAAATGGATAAAGAAAATCTGGGTCGGGCGCGGTGGCTCACGCCTGTAATCCCAGCACTTTGGGAGGCCGCGGCGGGCGGATCACGAGGTCAGGAGATCGAGACCATCCTGGCTAACACGGTGAAATCCCCGTCTCTACTAAAAATACAAAAATTAGCCTGGCCTGGTGGCGGGCGCCTGTAATCCCAGCTACTCTACTCGGGAGGCTGAGGCAGGAGAATGGCATGAACCTGGGAGGCGGAGCTTGCTGTGAGCAGAGATCGCGCCACTGCACTCCAGCCTGGGTGACAGAGCGAGACTCCGTCTCAAAAAAAAAAAAAAAAAAAAGAAAAAGAAAATCTGGTACATATACACAGTGAAATACAACTCAGCTTTATAAAAGGAAGAAATTCCACCATTTGTGACAATATGGGTAGAACTGGAAAACATTATGCTAAGTAAAATAAACCATAGAAAAACAAATACCACATATTTTTACTTGTATGTGGAATCTAAAACAGTCGAACTAATAAAAGTAAAGAGTAGAATTGTATTTATCAGAGGCTAGTGGGTGGGGGAAATGGGGAGATAATAGTTACAGGATATAAATTCTGTTAGATAGGTGGAATAAATTTGATTTTTTTTTGAGATCCATAACAGCATGCTGAATATAGCTAATAATTGAGTATTGTATGATTTAATATTGCAAAGAGAATAAAGTTTTAGTGTTCTCATCACAAAAATGTTAAACATTTGAACTGATTAATATAATTTATTTAATTTAACCATTCAACATTGTGTTAAAAAGTTATAGCACTTCTCTGTATCCCATAAACATACACAACTATAAATTGTCAATATATAATAAAAATTAACAAAATGAATTGAGGATTAAAGGGCCAAAACATGATGGAAATATTGGGAAAATATATGAAAGATACTTAACAAAGAAGAAAGAATAATGGCATTTAAGCATATGAAAAGTGTTTAATCTAACTCACAGATAAATGTAAATTAAAAGAACACCAATAGAACCGATTAGATTTGGCAAAAATTTATAAGTATGACAATATATTCTGTTGGTGAGGCTGTTGAGGAACAGGTAATCTCTTTACCAGTGTGAATGTTATCTGGTACAACCCTTTTGGCTTAAAAACAAGAAAAATTATTCCCTCACAACTTCAGAGACCAGAATTCAAAAAAAAATCAAAAGTATTAACAGGACCACACTCCCTCTGCAGGTTCCAGGGAAGAATCAGTTCTTGGTCTCTTCCAGCTTCTCGACGCTATTGACATTTGTGATTTGTGGCCACGTCACTCCAGTCTCTGTCTCTGTGATCACATTGACTTCTTTTCTCTGTCTTTTATGTCAATCTGAAGCCTCCTTCTGCCCTTTTGTTAAAAGGGTCCTTATCTTTTAGACCTAGGTGGTCTAGAGAACACCTAGATGATTCGTGATAGTCTTTTCCATCTCAAGATATTTAACTTAATTATATTTGCAAAAACTCTTTTCTCAAACAAAGCAACATTCACAGGTTCTGAAGATGAATACGTGGACATATCTTCTTTGAGGCCACCGTTCAACCTATTACAGTGAGCAATCTGACTACTAGGAAATCATCTTGAAAATAGACCTCCGACAATATAAAAATACACATTGACAATATTATTCATTACTGCATTGTTTATTACAAAATATCAGAAAAACCTAAATGCTCATACATGGGATGATGATTTAATAAATAAATAAATAAAGTGATACACTTACATAATAGAATATTATGCAGCTATAAAAAATAAGAAGTGTCTCTTAGAACTGACATAGATTGATTTCCAGGATATATTGTTATGTAAAAGAAACAAAGTGAAAAGAATATCTATAGTTTTCTACCCTTTATTGCAGAAAGTAGCGGCACATGGAAATATACATGTATATTCTCATTTTCGTAAACAGAAGTTAAGGAAGGATAAAGCAGAAACTAATGAGATTGGCTACTTAGAGGGTAGGAATGAGATGGAAAGAATCGGGGTGATGGTAGATGGCATGAGTAGGGAGTATTAGTTGTATGATTATAACTGTTTGCATAGTTTTTACTTGTAGAACCATGTTGCTGTTTAACATATCCTCACAATGTTAACATCCTCCCAAATTATTTATTTTAAAGAAATAATTAAAAAAATTAAAAGAAACCAGGATTTGAGTGGGAGAGCCTAAAATATAATACAAAGAATATAAATGAGCTTAACAGTATTGCAAATGAATAACATAAGCACTCTGGAATCAGCCATTTCTCCAGAAGCACTCATTTCATTTGTTGGACTGTAGCATTAATAAATGAAGATTGAGGCACTGAGGATGCTCATTGTTACTTGGGTCTCATTACCTCCTGGCCTTTTCAGTAGACAGAGCTAAGAAATACACGTACACATTTACACCAGTATACTAACATCTACATTTATTTCTATAGATAGGATGTGGACAAGTCTTATTCTCTTTCTTGGATTAATATTAATTATCCATGGATTTCATGGTTCTTCTAATGCAGTTGCATTAGACTTATAGTTCTTAAAGTGTCATTTTTCTCATATTTTATGAAATATTTCACATAGCATTAGCTTTAAATTATTCTCTCACTCTCAGATCGCATTATTTCCTAAACACTATGGAAGTCAGAATTGTTTTTCCACAGGAAAACTCACCCAATTACCACTTAGGATTAAGAAAGCCTAATTTTAGTGTTTGGAATTTTTAGCTCTAAGAAAAAAAAAATAGGAAGAAAAGAACTATTTTAAAAAGTGCTTTTTTTTTTTTTTTTTTGAAAAAGCCCCATACCTGGAGTGAGTTTACTTAATTTAAAATATTAACTCCAAAATCCAATACCTATGTGACCTGGAACAACTTACCTAACCTGACTGTGCCTCAGTTTCCTCACAAAATGAAATGATAGCATGATCTATTACTTAGAGTAGTTTTAGAAAATACTAAATGATTGGAGATAAGTCACTTAGAATAGTCCCTGGCACATAGCACAGAATAACTGTGAGCTAAAATTTTTTTCTATTGTACAAACTGAGTTTTTGACCCAAGATGATCTCCAAATGATGAATTGATCCCTATATTAATAAGATTTTTTTCTGAAAGTTTTAACTAGTTCTCTAAAGTAGAATGAGAATTGACTTTAACAGAATATCTTCCCTTGAAAAGCTACCTTGGCATAGTTTAACAGATCTTATATTTAAAACTGACATGGCTGATATTTATTTAGATCTTAACAAGGGGCAATAGTTTTTTTCATAAATTACCTGACTTCAGTTCAAACTTCACAATTTATTCCACCCTAAAAATACAATCCCTAGCCTATAGGAGTGCTAATTACCTGAAAGAGTTCTGTGCATTCAAATTCCAAGTTACAGTTAATTAACTTAATTAATTTTTCATAATAATTTGATCCCTTAGGCCCCATTTTGGTTGCATTTTTGTAGTGTTCCAATCTAACCAATGAAGCACACACAAAAAATATTTCAGTTGTGACTTATGTCCTTGTATAACAAGAGAAAACCAAACAAAATTAATCACTAATGGATAAGTTACATGAAAAGTGAAAGAAAAGTGGGGAGAAGTGGACTGGCTGATGTTGGAGATAGTAAAGAAGAGAAGGCACCCAGGAAAGGAGGAAAAGATTAAAGAAATAAAAAAAAATAAGGAAAAAAGTAAGGGATTAGAAAATGTTTGTTTGTGAATTTTAAGAAAACTAGATGAGAGTAGAGAGGAATAATTCTTAGATCATGGGGGCAAAAACGATGAGAAGAGCATGGGGTGTTAAGTGTCAGTTCATATGGAGGGGGAGAGAAGAGGAAATGCCCCTTTATTCCTGTCTGGAAATGCTAGATTTAAAAAGTTGGATATCTGAACTGAAAACAACAAAAAATTAATCCACATTTACTTGGAATCAAGCACAAAACCAGTCCAAAAGTAGTAGATTGAGGCTGACACCAAGGTGGCTCAGGAAATAGAATTCTGGGGGGTCATATCCGGGCTGGAAAAGTGGGTTCCGAAGCTTGTAAAGACACACAAGGATGAATGGCGTAGCCTCAGGGCTTTAGGAGGCAAGAGCCTGAATAAAACTCAGCACTCCTCACTGCATCCTTTCTTCTAAAAAGCAGTAAGGGTATTTCTTGTGTCTCTATCTTTGAAGAGGAAATGTCACTGAAGAGAAATCAAAATCTCAAGTTTATCTTAAATGTGAGTATAAGATGATAAAGTACACACACTGCATGGTTTTAGAACAACATGCCAAGAATTCAACATATAAATTGTGCCAGGGTTATTAAACTTCTTAAAATTTCCCTGAAAAACAAAAAAAACAAAACAACCAAAGACATATCTGAAGTGGCATTTCCACAACTCTAGGGCTTTCTAAATAATAAATAAATATAGATACATAGTAGGCGGATATGCTGTAGATAAATAAAATTTCACTAATCAAAAATTGCTAATGCATGGGAAGTAAACCAACATGAGAATCGGCAGACATGATGAAGAGAATGACCAAAGTAGAAATCATACTATTTGAAATAAGAATATTAAAAAATGATGTAAGAGATATAAGCAATTAAACCACTAAAAAATGGCAAATTGAAGGGGTCTGAATTTAGAGAGCCAGAAAATCTTGGGATTGACTGAATTTACCAATAAGTAGTTGAATAACTGGTGTTTCATTTCTCTGAGTTTCAGTTTTCTTGTGGAACTATTGGTTTATCTATCTCATGGTGTTGGTGTTAAGATTAAATGACAAAATATACGTAAAGTACCTAGAAAATTAGAAGTCCTCAATATGGATTAGTGTTTGTCCTACTTCCCATTTATAAAAGATTAACTTAGAAATTGAAATTTGGTCAAGAGAGATTCTCTCCTTTTTATTTGCTATTCTAAGTACCAAGATATATTTATGCACATTACATTTTGAAACATTGGTTGCCTAATTAGTAGAACTGCAAAAATATAGTATGGAATATGTTGCCTATCAAGATATGCAGCTCACTAACAACAGTCACATACTAGTTTTCTGTTCATTTATATATGTGATATCTTCTTCAGTGAGGTGTATAATATAGTCCATATGCTTCCTCAAACATGGCATTCTTTAGGAGAGAAGGCACAAAGATAATACAATTTATTTTTCTCATAGCTTAGAATTATTTTTGTCATGTTTGAAATATATTCTTTTGATGTATTGATTAACATTTCATGATATTTACAGGTAATTTTAGGAAAATTTGTACATCTATACCATCCCATCTTCTAATCCAGAAATCTGACATGTCCCTCTACTTTTACTTAACTTTTAAAATGGTTTTTTTTCCTTAGTAAAATTTTGTGGTACTCTTTATATAAACATTTCTTTCATTTTGTTTTCTTTACTTTTTTTTTTTTTTTTTGAGACAAGGTCTCCCTCTGTCTCCCAGGTTGGAGTGCAGTGGTGCAAACCTGGGCTCACACAATCCTCCTGCCTCAGCCTCTTGAGTAGCTAGGTCCATGGGCACGTGCCACAATGGCCAGCTAAATTTTTGATTTTTTTTTTTAAGAGTTAGGGTCTCATTGTACTGCCCAGGCTGGTCTCAAACTTCTGGGTCCAAGCAATGTTCCTACCTTAGTCTCCCAAAGTGCTGGGATTACAGGTGTGAGCCACTTGATGTGGCCACAAGTATTTCTTAAACAGTCATCCCTTGATATCTATGGTAGGTTAGTTCCAAAACCCCCATGGATATCAAAATCCATGGACACTCAAGGCCCTTATATAAAATGGAGTAGTGTTTTCATATAACCTAAGCACATCATCCCAATATACTTTAAATCAGTTCTAGATTACTTATAATATCTAATATAATGTAAATGTTGTGTGAATAATTATTATACTGTACTGTTAGAATAATAATGACAAGATATAAACATATGTACATATGCAGTATAATGCAATTTTTCTTTTATCTTTTTTGAATAGCTTCTATCTGTAGTTGGTTGAATCCATGGATATGGAACCCACAGATACAGAGGGCCAACTATACAATTTATTTTTATATATTCTAGAACTTGGTTGCTATAGTGACTGACATCTTAGACACCATTAGTATCAATGAAAGCTTTTGATTTCCTCATATTTATATTTTACAGCCATAATATAAAGTGTTCTTTTTAAAGTGATTTTAAGTTGAATATTTTCTGCATTTTTAAGGTAGATAATGGGATGTTCTGGAATTCTTTCCTTACAAATTATTTCTACTGTTATGCATATAATTGACAAGAACTTTCAAAATAATGTGGTATGATAAGTGGCTATCATAGGCCTTATGTCCTTTACATGTTGAATAAATATTCTAGATTTAATTTTCTAAGGATGACGCTTTCTTGGGTGTCTTTTCGTCATTTTTCTAGGAGACAATTTGTTCATATTTCCTTTAATGTATTGAAGTATTTTAAAATTAATCTAGGTGAAACCACGCTTTCCTTCCTGTATACACATTAGTTGGATATGAAGTATCATTCTTTTAATAAATTTTTGAAAGGCATGAGCTTGCATTTTGGATTACCTTAAAAGCATGATTGTACTATTGTTTACATGCATGTGTTGTGTGTTACTTTGTTAGATATGAGTTTTAAAGCTAAATTTACTGCGCTGAGAATAATATGTTTGACAATTTGAAGTAATACGGCTATAAAACTGCTATAAACTCTGTGAAGGCAAGAGCATTTTCTGTGATAAATGAAACTCAGAGGCTTACAGGGATATGCATAGATTAGATAAAAGCCACCACATATACATAACAAAAATATCACACATATGCATCACACAACATGGGTCACATATACATGGGTCATATCTAGATGGGTGGCCTTTATCTAATCCATGTGTATCCTCCTTCTCCATGATTGCCTCTTCATAGACTGGTTGAGCGTTTTCATGCCATGATACCTGACTATTGCCAGAATGAGTGCTGTAAGAAATCAAGAAATCAAGATGGAAGCTACAATGTCTTTTATGACTCAGAAGTCGCACACTATCCTTTCTACAATATCAAGTCCTAGTGTCACCTTCTCAGTGAGATCTTTCTTGACTACTCAGTCAAAAATTATAACCTCATCCCCATGTTTGTTCCTTTTCCTTTATATATAGTTTTCGTTGCACTTATCAGCTTCTAACGTAGCAGATGTTTAATTGTTCATTTTGTTTATGGCAGTCTCTCTTCAGTAGAATATAAAAGAGAGCTCCTTGAAAAAAGGGACTTTGTTTTATTCATTGCTGTAACCCCAGTGTCTAGGAGGCTGCTGGCTAATAGTGGCAGTCAAATTGGTGTTGATCATTAGTTCCTGCTCTTTCATTCTGTTGATCTCTGCTTCATTTAGGCTTTAAATTTATTGCTTATATTGTTTTTCTCTTTGTAATCCCTTTGGGATCAAATTTTCCCTTTGATTGTCTGTTTTATAGTTCCACTATTACCTTGACTCCTATAAAGAAACATTGATCTTGTACTAATTTTTTTAGGGTTTTGTAAGAACACCTAATATTTTTGACTGCTCGTCTGAGTTACTCTTTTTTGAACTTTCAAATAATTTCAGTTATTTTTCCAAGATTATTCTTTTCTAATGTGAAATGAGACCTTTCAGAGGATTCAAGACTGAGTCTTTCAAGCTCAAATGAAGGGAGACGGATAAGGTTCTCATATTTTGTAGTTTCACTTGTCAGTTCAGAGTTTCATTACCAGAAGTTTGTAGAGATAGCACCACTGCTATACAGGCTTTACAACCCGAAACTTCCTTCTGCATCAAAGATCACCATTTTGTGTTTATTATCACAGGCATTATTTAGCAGGGGTAGTTCCAAGGATACACTGTGAGCAAGTGCTATGGGATCTAGGCACTTAAGGCAAACAATAATAGGGTCCTCACAGGACTCTAGAAGGATCACACATTGCTGTCTTAGTGTTAAAGTAATGAATTTGGCCTTCAACCCATTGATACTAGTGAATTCTTTTAGAATCTCTTCCCTTATTTTCTGGGCAAGGTGCTTCTTTGCGTGCAGACAAGCAATGATCTGTGCAAATCATTGTTAAGTAGGACTCCTCCTTATGTAGAAAATTGTCTTGAAGTTTCTGTATTTTACTGTTATTCTTCCATGTTTTCTAATATGAACACAGAATAATCTCTAGTTGGATATTTAGATATTCATTTTAATATGATTGTGAGATAAAAGTTAGATGTGTTTCTTCCATTCATCATTTAATCAAGAAATCAGTATTACATATTTAGCATTAGATACTGAGGTTATATCTGAGCATCTTATTCAAATTAAGGTCCCTTTTAATTTTTGGTCACAGCCACTTATATAGTTTTTTCTTAGAGAACTTAAACAATTTTAAAGTTTTAATTGTTTACTTATCTTTTTCCATTTTCTCTTTCATGTGGAGTGTTCTATATGGTTAAGAAGGCTGCCTGTTTCATTTGTCACTGTATCTTCACTGCATAGGCTAGTGCATGGAAGTCAATAGGATTTAAATATATATATGAATAATGGGAAATTTTAGATAGAATGCCAGGCTTATGATATGAATAAGGCAGACTGTCTATTTAATCTATGCCAGATCAGGCCTCAGACCTTCACAATCCTCAGCTTTAATGCACTCATTTTGTGGTATTCACTTTTTAAATTAGTAGAAAGAAATATGAAAATACAAGCAAATGTATCTAATGCCAACTTCTTGGGAACAGCTAAAGGAGTAAGTGCTATTTAAACTGGCAAAATAATAATATTATATATATATTTATATATACCATTATAAAATATAACAATAAAACTGATTATATGTTTTCCGTGCTTATTAAACACATAGCAAGAAAATTGGCCTTTACTTCCTTGGAAAAATAAAAACTGAACTACAACGAATAAATATTTCACAGTAAGATCATTAATGGCAGGAAAAATGGTCAAAGGGCATGACAGAATATTCTTTATTTTCAATATCGTCTGAAAAAAAAAGAAGTATCAGTTTGGTGTTATGGATAGAGACTTTGTAAAGGCAAATCATCTTTTAAAATTTGTTTCATATGTACAAATAAACTGGAGTAAAATATTTAAGACACATTTTTGACATGAGCTAAGTGTAGGCCTGGAATAATTTGCTAAATGTCGCAAGAGAGAGAAAAAAATTAGACTAAATAGCTGCCTTTAAGCTTAACTATAGTATTTTCTTGTATCTGTGTTTAAAAAGTCACCCCTGCTAGCTAACAGAAAACATTAAATCAAAAGGATTTAGCATTGTGGTTAATGTCTTGTTCTTTATGATCTGCACAGGCCTAGATATTGCAGCACATATTTTACATATGTAATTCTGCTTTGGGACTACTCTAAAACCATCGTACAATATGCTGAATTAATAATGCTTATAAGTGTAATATATATAGGGAGAGTTTGAACAACTCTTGATGAAAGGTGATATATATTTATGAGGTGCCAGATGTTTGCCTTTAAAAGTAATTTTTATTAACCCACACTATTGAGATTTGTATTGAAGTGGTCTCTTTGTGGTAGTATATTGTTTAAAATATGTTCTGTGAGATTTAGGCACAATGGGGTGAATAAAAGAATAAGTACCTGTCTAAATTTTATGTATTTTTAAAAATTGAACCATGGGGGTACATTTTTAATGCAGGTGCAATGTATTAGACAGAAAACAGTAAAAAGGGTTATACATTTCATATGCAACTGCAGGTGTTAAAATGTACATATTATTATTATTTTAAATATTTTCTTTTTATTATGGAGGTAATCATGATATCATATGCTTATATAACATGTTTCTTGCTAGGTATTCAAAACACATTACAGTCGTTAATTATTTCACATTTCATAACTTTCCTGGAGGGAAGCAAAGACAAGCATTATCGCCCCATTTTACAGACAAGGCAACTTGTTAACAAATGGCTGCTCTCTAAATGTCAGAGATTTTTTTTTTTTTTCTGGCCTTGCACCTCATGTGTCCACTGGGCTGATTCCATTGCTGCTGAGCACCAGGATCACCAATCCTTTGATTACTGCCCTGGTTATTGTGACTAGCACACATTTCTTTCCAAACCCAAGGCACAGTAAGCATTGCAAATATTAATGACAGTTTACTGAACATTTCAGGAAGCAGAAGGTGTATATTACAAAGTGACTACATTCAACAACTGCCCAGGTGCAGACCAGTCACAGATCCCCCTTACTGGCTTGCTTCCTGTCCTACTGCTGACTCGTTTCCTTGTGGCCAGGGCGATTAATCTCTTGCTATATTGCAAAGCCTGATGTATATCTATTCTAGGCTCCAGGAAGAGTAGAACACATTTTCTTCCCTTAATCTAAAATCCATTTCCATAGGTCCCAGAATTGTCTTCCTAAGATGGAAATTTCCATTTCTTTTAAAGGAAGCATCCTTCTCATCTACACAAGTGTGTTCCATCTTATGGAACCAAATTTACATAATAGTCAAATCCACTATGTCTGCCTTATTTGGCCTTGGATAACACTATGTATTTGACAGAAACAGCCTGGCCAGATAGGCTTACACCTAATTTTATTTCTCCTCAATAAAGAGTTAGCATATACTGATGTTCAGTCTTGTTCAAGTTTTCTTGTTTTTGTGATATATGATCCTAAGATGCATAGTAACAAACAATTCAGCAGAAGCTAAAGTTTCAAGGCCCATCCACACACTGGGGCATGTTTGAATCTCACGTATTTATTCACACAATTACTGATTCATTAAACATTTATTTAAAAGTTTGTCTGAGTGTGATGGTTACTGAGCCACACAACAAAAACAAATTAGACAGGATGCCTGCCTGCCTTCAGTCATCTTGTAGTTTAGATAAAGTAAGCCACAAACAATTGTCAAACATTTTTCTTTTTTAAAAAAGCATTTCAGTTTTCATCCATGAATTTGTTCTCCACTGGATACCATCTGGAGGGACTTTAAATCAGGTGCTCCATCAAGGAAAGGATAACACTAATTCCCTTGATCTCTCTTCCAAAGCAGAATTACAAAGCAGATAAGGTGGGTTGTGGGTTACTCTTACAAACCATCTTATCTCTGAAAAAGGTGAAACCATACTTTTAGAAGTCTGTTTACCCATGCAATAATTCAATGCATAATTCATAGCACCACTTGTTCCAACTTATCCAGTGAAGTAGTGACAAAAGAATGGGCAGCTGTTTTATCTGTAACTTTTTCTAAAGCAAGAAAAAGAGTTTTCTTTATATTGGTCTCATTAGTAAACTTAGAATGAACAGTGATAAAAGATTATGTGAAAATAAAGACCGAATTCCTTTTATAGAGTTTCTTAGGGACATACTTGATTGGAAAAGAGTTTTCAAATGGCACCATAACTCCTCTTAAACAATTAAAAATTTGCTTTTGCGCATATTGATCACAAATATATTTATTTTCTAATTTGGAATGTTGGGTTGTTCTATAGTTTATTATGACAAAAATGAATCACAAATAGGGAAAATATTGAAGAATGAACATTCTTGAGTATATAAAATAATCACAGCTTAAAATAAAATATCAAGGATAATTTCTTTTTAAATTTTATCATGTAAATCATTTATTTTTTCTTATCTTTGCAAGTCATAAGAATAGTTTTGATTTCTTATATAAATTCATGGATTCATGAAATCTTAATAGTTGGAAGGTACCTTAGAAGTCTCTTCCTTGTAACTCCCTCTCAACACAGAAATAAATCTCTTGATCCCCATCATGTATAAATGATTTGTTTGAATGCTTTAAAATGAAAAACTCATATTTTGAGTCAGTTTATTTCAATATGGGACAACCTTGATGGCTCTCAGGATTTCTTCATTGTGCCTTAATTCTTGTCCTTTTAGTCTTCCACACAGTGACTTGTTCTGCCTTACCTTTTTAAATATTTGAAGAGAGAAATAATATGCCCTCCACTACCCCTTCTGTTTCCCAGGATAAAACCCTCTCTTTATGTCCAGAGAAGGAGATACTATTTCAATCAGGGAGAACAACATGAACAAACATGCAAAGCAAGCACCTTATGAATTCAGCTAGCAACATGGGCTAGAAAATGAAATTTGTGAGAAGCAGTAAGAGAAAGTATAAAATAAATTGAAAATGAAGATTGGGGTCTGATTGTGGATAACTGTAGGCAAGGGGATCTTTGATGATTATTTTTAAGCAAGAATAGTGATATGATCAGAGATTTGTTTCAGGAAGATTGATCAGACATGACTAATCATGTAGAGCATTAATTCCCAGTTGTACATAAATTTTCTTGTCAGTTCTTCCCTCCGTATGTCAAATTTTTGCATTGTAGCCCTTATGTAATTCCCTCTGTAAGAATGTAGGCTGAACCTAGAAACTTGCTTGTAACTAATAGACTATGGCAGCAAAAGTACTGGGATGTCAGTTCCATGATTAGGTTACAAAAGATTACGACTTTCCTTTTAATAGCAGACTTTCTCTATTACGTTCTCAATCTCCCAGATTACACGTAAATTACAGCCTGTAAGAGGACCTAAAATAGAGGATCCAGTTAAACCATGCCTGGACTCCTGACCTAAGTATTTAGACAATAAGTGTGCATTGTTTTAAGCTGCTAAGTTTTGTAAATTGTTACACAGCAATAGGTAACTAATACAGGGCTGCATGTGTGATATTTTGCAAATATGTGCTAACTCAATTAGCAGTGATAAATCTCCTGGTGAGCTGAAGGAGTTTCACCTGATGCATAGGTTGTGAGAATTATATAGGAAATAGATATATAAACATTGTAAACAAGAGTATTGTGATACCCATAAATAACAGGGGAATTACAAATATTTAGATGATGGATTCGATTTTTTTGGTTCTAGTGTGTGTTAATTCATATGGTTCATTCATGTTTAACAGTAAAACATAGAACTGTGTCCTCTGGACTGAGGTATTATTGACATTAAAAGGGAATACTACTGTGTCCCTAAAGAGAACACTATAGATTTTTGTGAGAGAGTTTTATAAATGCAAAGCAGGTAGCATGTGCAAGGCTAAAATATTCAAGTGGTCTTTTAAGCTGGCAGAAGACCAGCAAAATGAAGGCTTTAATTGGGACCTCAAAAAATTAAAATAGAGGTTATCTCCTATATTTTGATGTGTCCTTGTTACCACTTTTTGTAAGTGAAAAATTTATTACAAATACTTGAACTTACAGAGGAGATATTTGACATTGTAGCCAAAAGCATAAAAACTGAAACAACAACACATACAAAATGAAATGCTGCCAAACCAAATCAGACTACTTTATTTTATTCTACCTTGTCCAAAATATTATTCCATTTTATTATGAAAATAATTTATTAATTTTTTTATGATTTTGCATTTTAAAAATATTGACTAGGTAATGTGATCAGGTTTCCTTATTGGGAAGACGAGCTGAGGAAAAAGATACAAGAATGACTCTGGGGCACTGGAGACTTAACAACGCATTAAGAATTATGGGGCCAAAATCCTGGAAGAGATAGAAACCCAAAAAGTAAACAAACCCAATATTTAGGCATACTTCTCTCCTAAGTGTAGGTGCATCTGTAGATTCCTTCAGTGATAAGTTGATCAGAATGTTGGGTACATTTGCAATGCCAAGGAACAGAAATTCAAGTCTATGCTAGGCAAAGGCCCCTAGCAAATCCCTATCCTTTGAATTAGGACCTCCAAACGACTACACAGTAAGAGAAAAGCCAATCCAGAAATAAGAAATAACCAACCTGACTTTTACAGAGATAGAAGCCCAGCTTTGAACCATATCAATCCAGGTAACTGGATTAAGATGATCACCAAATGCTGGTGCCTCTGGCTGCTGGCCTACATCAAATATAAATCCTCATTTTCACCTCTCAATAAGACAGAGCCTTTCAAGGCAGACCAAAACAACTAGAAAAACTGGACAAATTATAAAATCACTTATTTAAAGGCATAAGAGAACCCCAGAAGCTACAAGGACTAAATAAAGTAAGATTCCAGCAAGAGAAAAAATTTTCAGAGATGAGCTAAGGATATGCAGCCATCCCTGAAGCCATTTGTTGGTCCTAGGATTGAGACAAAAGCTGAGACAACTAAGTAAACCCATACATAGGCAAACTGCTAGGGGACAGAGGGAAAAGCAGAGATTTTTTGGGGGAGGGGGGTCACATGGGACTGGATTGACATAATTAGAGGTTTCAGGGAGCTCAGGCACACAGGTGGTCTCGTCCTCAGTGTGTTCCCTGAACTCCGAAGCTGTACAGAGCTGGAGGCCAAAACACAAGGCTAAAAATTAAAATGTCTAAAAATCACAGGAATGTCCTATAGTCTTGCATTGGAAGACTAAGTGTTGCAAATATGTCACTTTTCTAGCAACCGATTTAAAAAGACAATGCAATCTTAACCAGAATCCTGAAGAGTATTGTTTAAGAGAAATTGATAAGCTGATTGAAGAATAAATATGGGAATGCAAAGGACTAAATGTTGAAAAGAAATTACAAAATTGGAAAACCTAAATTATTAGTTATCAAAACTCAAGCTCTATTACAAAGCTTTATTTGAAATATAATTGATATACAGTAAACCCCACATTTAATATATACAATTTGATGCATTTGCACATATGCATGCACTCATAAAATGTCATAATAATTAAGGTAATAGACATGTCTATCACCTCCAGAAATTTCTTGTATCTCTGTGTGTGTGTGTTTATGTGTGTGTGTGATAAGAACACTCAACATGGGATTTACTCTCAACAAATTTTTAAGTTCATAAAACAGTATTGTTGACTATAGATACTATGCCTTGAAGCAGATCTCTAGAATGAATTCATCTTGTTATACTAATGAAGACAGGGGTATTGGCATCAGGACAGAAATATAGGCCATTGAAACCAAATTAAAATTCCAGAAACATACCTCGTGTATATAGTTGCCTGATTTATGACACATTTAATACCATAATGCTGTATGGCAAAGGTTGTCTTTTCAATAGATTATTTTGTGTAAGCTATATATCCATATTGTAAAAATGAAATCTGACCTGGTAGATGATAGATCTAAATATGAAAAGTAGAACAATAAAGTTTATAAAGATAATATAGGGGCATATCATCTTGACTGTTGAAAAGGGAAACACTTGTAATATTAGTCACAAAACTTCTAAGCCCCCAAAATAGGCAGGAATCAAATTAAAATAAAAACTACTCTATTATCAGAAGATACCATGTGAGGAACATACAAGAAGCCCCCCAAAATGGGTGAAGTAGTTCTAGATACATAACTAAAAGAGGGTCTATACCCAGAATTTATAAAAGACTACAACAAATCAATTACAACTGTTCAGATTAATTGGAAACGCTCTGCAGTGAAGTCAAAGGACACTCAACCACATTACTCATCAGGGAGATATAATTTATATCCACACTGAGATATCCCTACTTCTATGACAGAAGGGCTAAAATTAAAACAAGAAATAGCAAAATTTGGTGAGGATATGGGACAATAAGAACCTCAATACACTGATGTTGGGAGTGTAAATTGGTACAACCACTTCAGAAAACGGTTTGTCATACTTAACAATGTTAAGATATTGTGTTTTTTGGTACAGAAATTCTGTTGAAGGCTTATACTAATTGGAAATACGTAAACAGAGACGAAAGATATACATAAGAATTTTCACAACCTGTAAGAGCCCCAAGCTGAAACTATGCAGTAATGCAAATGAATCTTACCAATATAATGTAGAGCAAAAGAAACCAGACACAAAATAATATGAACTGTATTGCTGGATTCATAGAGAGCTCAAAAGCAGAGAAAACACTACTTAGAAGTAGCAACAGTAGTTACCTTTTAAGGAGGTAGGAGAACAGAAGGGAAATGATCAGGAGAGGACATAAAGGGGCTTTTTGAGTGATGGCCTATTTGTTATCTATTGATGCATAACACATTATTCCAGAAATTAGTAGCTGAAAATAACAAATACTTATTAATCAGTTCCTATGGGTCAAGAATCAGGCACAGTTAATCTGGGAACCTGTAGCTCAAGGTCTTTTATGAAGTTGAAATTAGGGTATTTGGATGGCAGTCATCTCAGGCCTCAGTGGAGCTAAAATATCTTCTTCCAAACTCACTGATGCAGTTTTGGCAGGTCTCTAAATAACACACTTCTAAGTTCCCGTGTGAGTGTATCTTTCCAAGGCTGCCTCCTGACATTGCAACTGCCTTCCCCAGCCTGAATGACTTAAGAGAGAACAAGAGAGAACACCATGAGAGAAGTCACTGTCTTTTTATTACCTAATCACACAAGGGTCATCCCATTACTTCTGCTTCATTCCATTTTTTAGAACAAGTTATTAAACTCAGAGTATGACTAACAAGGGATAGGTGTTATTGAGGTCTATCTTGGAGGTTTCCTACTATAGATGACAGTGTCCAAGATTTTGACCTTGGTGGAGATACCATAAATGATTGCTTTATGTTATTCACCGGGCTTCATATTTGTCTTGTGAACTTTTCTTTATATATTTTACGATAAAGTATTTTTATGGTCAAAACATTTTATTTTAAAAAATTATTTTTATGTTTTATTTTTTAAGAGACAGGATCTTGCTCTGTCACCCAGGCTGGAGTGTGGTACTGTAATCATAGCTCTCTGTAATCTCAGAAACTCCTGGCTTCAAACAATTCTCCTACCTCATCCTTCCAAGCAGCTAGGACTATAAGTATGTATGTACCACAATGCCTTGCTAATTTTTAAATTTTTTTTGTAGATACAGTGTGTTGCTATGTTTCCTATTCTGGTCTGGAACTCCTGGTCCCAAATGATCCTCCCACCACTGCCTCCCAAAGTTTTGGGATTACAAGGGTGAGCTGCCATGACTGGCCTAAATTGTTTTAAATTGAAAATATACAGTCACAGAAATTTCTTCAAGTTTTAAGTGTTCGTAGAATGGAATCAAGATAGAATACAATTGCAAAGAACTTCTTCTTACCCATTCCCTTAGATCTATGGACTGCTTTAAAACTACTTAGAAATTTTAACTTAGGGTCCCACTTACAAACAACTAAACCCACCAACATTCAAAATTGAAATACATAAATTAAGTTGAGCTGATCTTTCCCTTGGGAAGCAATTTTTCTCAAGACCCTTATTTAAACATTTCTTACTTAGTATGCTTTTTAGTTGCTTATGAGCAAATTATACCTAAGAGAAAGTCTCAAATTTCAAATTTTCCACAAATGCCACTCTTAATATGAGCCTAATAACTTTCCTAATAACATACCATAAGTACAGTTTTTTAAATTTCAAGCCAAAGGTATTTTCTTTCTATATTTCATAGAAATTCTCACTAGTGATTTGAATAGGAATAACTACTTTTTCTGACATATAAATAGTGGTAAAGAAAACATTTTCATTAGTACTTTTATTTGAATATCATGCTTTTAATTGAAATATAACCAATGCACATGGTGTTAATAGAAAAATCAATCGTTGTTTGTACTAGTCATCCGATAGCAATACACATAGATAAATAGATTATTTCATGGATAAGAGAGGAGCAACTTACATCTAAGTGTACTTCTCACTCATTTCTTGACAAACTTGACAAATGGCACAGCCCAGCCAGTCACCTTGCCCTTCATGATAGAGAAGTGCACAGATGTGAACATGGATACGAAACACTTCTGTCCCTTTCTCTCAAGTGGACAATTCCAGAGGGAGCTTGAGAACAGGTTAAAAAGAACTGAGAAAAATATAATGTTTCTTTTTTTATACAAGTGTTTAGTATAACTCAAAAGCATAAAATAGTAAGACTGATAAAAATATATACAAATAATGTACATCAAAGTCGATTTTTGAAAGCATACATTGTATCATAAAATCAAAATCCTCAGATTGTAAGCAGAATTTTACCATAATAACAATAAAAAAGACAGCAGTGTCAGTTATTGAGCTATTTCTTTTATTAATGCCAAACCCATTCTTCTTTCTACACTGTGATGCTGGGGTGGAGACCTTTTTGTGGTCTACTCCCTAATTGGCTTCATCAGTTGGTGGCACAGGAAGGATCTCAGAAAGCTGGAGAGGGAGAAAATGTTTGCTGTGTCCTTTTTGCTTGTTGGTTTGATAGTATGGCCCCAGCAAGGACCCTGCACCCTGGCAGTGACAGCTGATTCCAGTGCTCACTTTCTGTACTCTTTCCCAGAACACTCAGGGATGTCTCTGCTTCAGAGATTTGAGTCTCAGCTTTGTAGGGCGCTCCACTTACCTCCTCTCATCATTTACCAAGCCCCAGATGTGCACTGTCTCTGTGTTACCTCAGTTACTTTTAACTTTTCCAGTTCTCTAGTATATGATTAATTAATTCCTTATATGGACTTTTCTGTGTTGAAATACCAGATATGATTTCTCTATTTCCTGTTGGGCCTTCTTTGATATAATAAACTATAATTAATTATATGATTATTACAAAAATGTGTTATGGACATGTTCAAATCTATATTGTGATTTGCTAAAGAGGGAGATCTTTTTCTTCTGCCTGTTTAATGAAAATGATTTCATTGGTTTAAGAAGAAAAATACTTCCATTTAGATTTGTAGAAGTGTACATAAGAGCAGTTTGTACTCTAGTTATGCATGTAACTGCTTGGAAAAACATCCCAAGCGGTCATGCTGTTAGATAATAGAAATAAAATTTAACTAAAATTTGTAATATGCATCATTTTAAGAAGGCACATTGTGAACCATGCATAATAAATTATAAATAATCTATTTGTAATCTGAATAAAATGAGAGAAATTACTTTTGTAATAATTATTGGAAAAATAAAAAGCATACTAATTTGTTTCTAGTGATGATCAAACAATTAATAAAATTTATGCAGAAATTCCATCAATACTTAAAAGTTGACCAACCTAAATACTACCTTGGGTTGGACATTATTTTTGAAAGGTACTAATTAAAAGTTTGTTTCTATTGCATAAATATGCATCTTTAATAAAATAAATAGTTTTAGATAGTTGCAATGACCACTATGTTGTTTATATAAATATTTAGGATGAGAAGGTGAGTACTTGTGAAAAATGTTTGTCATAGAATTCCAGAGATAATAGTACACACCTAATTTTTAAAATACTAGTTCCTCGTCTATATAATTTCAGTCTCTATATTTATGTTTTTTTGTGATTTATTCGTTTTGAGAAAGGGTACAATAGCAATTTTGAAATTAAAAAAATTGAAAAATATATGTCAAGGAATTGGGGCATAGAACTCTAAATTTTAATAGATTATTAGTCATCTTGCTAATATTGTGATACTTGAAACATTCTAATTTTTTCAATTATATAAAGCTGCTTAATTGCAAACATAGTGAAATGCAAAACTGACCATTTTAATATATGTGTAACAATTATGAAATACAGGAAGATATGACAGCATTAAATCACTCAATAAATTATTTGAGAAAATGGTGCAATAATTATTTGTGTAGCATATGGAATGAATATTTCTGTTCCTGAAAATTCTAAATCTGTTGGACTTTTCCTATTATTAGAAAGAGTACTCTCGAGTGAAAGCTGCTGCTTTGATTACTCACTCTACTGCAGCTGCTCTCTAAATTGTGTAGTAATTTGTAATTGCCAAATTCATTATTCTTTTTTGGTTCTCATCTTGGAGGAGAATTGGTAATGATTTCAAAACTATAAAGTCAGTGTTTTTGCTATCTATTGGACCATGCAAAAATTTAAATATCTATGTGTACACAATGAAATTCTTGCCAGAATACCCAATTCCATGGCTGGAGTAAGGAATATGTAATGTTTGGTATCTGGGTTTGCTATTGACACTGACACTAAAGAATTCTTACATTAAATATCTGGTAAAGAAGTAGGAGTTCATGGGTATCTGAATTAGGATAAACCACCAGATAGGCTCTGATTTTAAGAGTGTCATCAACCAACCAAAATTTCCTCATAACATACCAAAAATCACCTATGGACAAATTGAATAGGTATGTTAGAAACTAACATTAGGCCTTCATAAGAAAACCAGTCTTCCCACGACTTTCAAAAGAAAACATGATGGTTGTGGTGATGAAACATCAATGACTAGATGAGCAAATGTTATTCTTTTAATTCAAGCGATCTGCATGTACACATTAACCACAATCATCCTCTGGAAATCTGACCACCAATTATTTTTGTTTTATCTAAACAACCAACTAATTTTGTTCTAGGACTACCAAAAGATGTGATAGAGGAAAGAATGAGTTGGAAAGAACAGTGTTTTATTTTCTCTTAGACTAACAAAGGCAGTTTTTCTATAAACAATGCTGAAGATTTGGCCCAGGATAAGTGACTATTTCCATTCTCTCATCCTCAAGAAAAATGATAGAAAACTATAGATGAAGTAATGGTTCCTTGAAAGAAAAAGAAGGGGTTAATTCTATGCTTGTGTTGAGATGTGCGTTTGTGTATATCCAACACATGAGTACAACTGTCAGGAAGGCTCCTCGAATTCATGCTTTCCTGCCATGAAATACACATTGAGCCAATGGTTTCACTATAGTCATTAATACATATCCAGTGTTTTTTGGGCCACCAATGTACCTAGGAAAAGGTAAAGGCTTGAAGCCATAAAATAGGGTTCACATTGTTTTCATTAACCTCTTCATATTTGCAGATTAAAGAGATTTATTCTTATTGTAGTTGTTATTTCTACCTTATGGTAAAAAAGCTGTCTTTTCAATCTCAAAATGTGAATTCTATAGCATATTATGGCTGTAGATTGTTTTCTCTTTTTGCAAATGAACTAACTCCCTATGTGGGTAAATTAGATTGAAGCCCACAGTTGCACTGGTGGTTATAATAGGTCTACAAAGATGTTGAAAATTGATAGGAAACTGAATATTCTCTTACAATGACAGTCTATGAATGGTAGAGGTCCTGATTTAGACCTGGAAAGATAATCTGCAATGAATGTGCTGCTCTGCCTTTCCTCCCTTATGAAATTTTGAAGGCACAGGTTGAAAACTACTGACTTATTGCCTCATGAATTCATTTGAGGTGGCATATATTGAAATTGAAAGCACTATTACATGGGTAGCCCATTGTACGTGGTGATAAGGGAGCTATTACTTAACTCTGCTGAACACCTGTCAAGAATTGCTCTTTAAATCAGCCCTGCACACATTTGAGCTCTACAACAAGGAAAGCAAACTTATTCTTTATAAGTTTCTTTATAACAAGAGATACCAACTCATAGTCCAGAAACCTGTGCCTTTCCTTTTCCATGTCCCTGTGAGAGGTCAGGGCCATACAAAAATTAAAAACTGGAAATTAGGGACTATAAAATAGGAATAGTTAATTTTTCTTTTTTGAAAAATTATTGCTAGAATTACTCAAAGTTGATAGTTGTATCAGTCAGGCTATATTAAGCAATTCTGTGTTGACAAATGACCCCCAAAACTTTAGAGGCTTTAAAGAACAATGGTTTATTTTTTGCCCATGTTGTGTGTCCATTATAGGTCCGCTATAGCTCTTCCCTATATTTTCCTCTCCTCTCCCCCTTGGAACCTAGTGTAACAAAGAAGCTCATTTTAAGAATAAATAGACCTCTCTGTTACCTAAAGCAGGCATCTGGTACCAGATTTATTTCCCAAAAATTTATAACTAGAATTTCTTTACATCTCCGGAATGTGTGCATGTTGAAACTCATTGTGCCATTGTGCAACCCTTGCTGACATCTGGGCACCAAAATGTAATAATTTATCATGACCTACGTGGCTACTATGGTCCAAATTACCTGTAAGCTCCTACTTTAAAATCCACACATACCTCTAAGGAAAAATCCACTGTGGAGCGCTCAGTCCTCTCTTGTGGAGGTGCCCTGCTGCACTCTCTTGCATCATTGTTTCTTTTTTAACTTTTAAGTTGAGTGGTACATGTGCAGGATATGCAGTTTTGTAACATAGGTAAAGGTGTGTCATGGGGGTTTGTTGTATACATTATTTCATCACCCAGGTCTTAAGCCGAGTATCCTTTTAGCTATTTTTCTTCATCCTCCCTCCTCCCACACCCTCCATATTCTGATAGCCCCGAGTGTGTGTTGTTCCCTTCCATGTGTCCTGTGTTTTCATCATTTAACTCCCACTTATAGGTGAGAACCTGTAGTATTTGGTTTTCTGTTCCCATGTTAGTTTGCTGAGGATAATGGCCTCCAGCTCTATCCATGTTCCTGCAAAGGACATGCTCTTTTTCTTTTTTTATGGCTACATAGTATTCCATGGTGTATATGTACAACATTTTCTTTATCCACTCTATCACTGATGGGCATTTGGGTTGATTCCATGTCTTTGCTATTGTGAATAGTGCTGCAATGAACATACACATGCAAGTGTCTTTATAATAGAAAGATTTATATTCCTTTGGGTATATACCGAGTAATGAGATTGCTGGGTCAAATGGTATTTCTGTTTTCCATTCTTTGAGGAATTGCCACACTGTCTTCCACAGTGACTGAATTAATTTACACTCCCACTAATGGTATATAAGCATTCCTTTTTCTCCACAACCTCACCATCATCTGTTATTTTTTGACTTTTTATTTTTATTTTTATTTATTTATTTATTTATTGAGATGGAGTCACGCTCTGTCGCCCATGTTGGAGTGCCGTGGCGTGATCTCGGCTCACTGCAAGCTCCGCCTCCCGGGTTCTCGCCATTCTCCTGCCTCAGCCTCCTGAGTAGCTGGGACTACAGGCGTCCACCACCACACCCGGCTAATTTTTTGTATTTTTAGTAGAGAGAGGGTTTCACCATGTTAGCCAGCATGGTCTGGATATCCTGACCTTGTGATCCTCCTGCCTCGGCTTCCCAAAGTGCTGGGATTACAGGCGTAAGCCACCGCGGCCGGCCTTTGACTTTTTAATAATAACCATTCTGACTTTCGTGAGATGGTATCTCATTGTGGTTTTGATTTGCATTTCTCTAATGATTACTGATGTTGAGCTTTTTAAAAAATATGCCTGTTGCCGCATGTATATCTTTTTTTTGAGAAGTACCTGTGCATGTCCTTTGGCCATTACTTTATGGGGATGTTTGTTTTTTTCTTGTAAATTTGTTTAAGTTCCTTATAGATGTTGGATATTGGACCTTCGTCAGATGCATAGTTGGCAAAAATTTTCTTCCACTCTGTAAGTTGTCTGTTTCTTTCTATCTAATAAAACTTTCCTTTTCAATCCTATACTGTTGCCAGTAAATTCTTCTTACCACCCCACTACCTGCGAGCTGACCACTTTCTGATGCTGGGGCTCTGACAGCTTGCTTGGCAGGCAATATAACTATCCTTGAGCATAGGCATTGGTGCATACACATAGAAGTTTACAACAATTTTCTTTTGTCTAATGAAGAAAGAGATGCCCCCCCACATGCACACTAAATACTGTAAAAGGTCTCAAAGTTATTTTTCTTGTTTGTTGGCTTGCTTTTAATCATGCTTTTATTAATGCTTTTGATGATGCTATAATTTATTCCAGCCACTTTTATTATGGATATGGATGATAACCTACCCTGTTTTTGACAACTCTTATAAAAGTTAAGTGGATACGGATAAGTTATGCCTAGTGTTGTCATTAAGGTTATCATATCTTGATGGGACCTCACCGTCTGATTTTCTAAAATTCTGAGACAGTATGACATAATAATTATGGTTTTGAATCAAAGTTAATTTTTACTCCAAACTTTCTCACTAAGTGTATGATATTCATTAAGTTATGTAACTTATCTGTCTGTTTCTTTATCAGTACAATATAGATCTTGATAGTACTTATCCCACCGTACAAATGCTTAACAAATTATTACTATTTTAAAACTTATTTTCTTTTTAAATTGACAAACTATAATTGTATATATGTATAGGGTACAATGTGAATGATTTCATTAAGTTAATAGATCACCTCATTTATCATTTTTGTGGTGAGATTATTTGAACTTTACTCTCAGCAATTTTAAAATGTACAATACATTATTATTGACTATAGTCAGTATGCTGTGCAATAAATTTCAATAACTTATTCCTCCTATCTAACTAAAACTTTGTACCATTGTATATCACTGCATGCCACCCTCTAGCATCTGGTATTCTCAAATTTTATGAGTTTGACTCTTTTTAGATTCCACATATAAGTGAGGTTCCACATATAGGTGAGGTTCTACATACGTGGAATACCAATACCACAGACGTGGTATTTGTCTTTCTGTGCCTAACTTATTTCACATAATATAATGACTTCTTTGTCACTCATATTGTTGTAAGTGACAGGATTTTTTTTTCTTTTTTTAAGGTGGAATAGTATTTCTTTGTGTATATATACCATATTTTCTTTATCTATTCATCTACTGAGGGACACTTAGGTTGATTCCATATCTTGGCTATTGTGAATAATGATGCAATAAAAATGGAAGTGCAGCTGTATCTTCAGTGTACTGATTTCAAACCCTTTAGATCCATATCTAGACATGAAATTTCTAGATCTTATGGTAGCTTTATTTTCAGTTTTTTGAGGAACCGCCATATAGTTTTCAGCTGTGGCTGTACTGATTTATATTCCTACCAACAGTGCAGAAGTGTTTCCTTTTTTCCCCATCCTCACCAACATTTCTTATCTTTAGTTGTCTTTTTGATAATAGCCATTCTAACAAGTGTTAAGTGATATCTCATTGTAGTCTTAATTTGCATTTTCTTAGTGATTAGTGAAGTTGAACAATTTTTCATCTACCTGTTGGCCTTTTGTATGTCTTTTGAGTAATGTCTATTTTCTGCCTGTTTTAATGAGTTTTTAAAACTTATTTGTTACTGAGT